>NC_000001.11:211214890-211366405 GCF_000001405.40 Homo sapiens | reverse complement strand
ATACAGTAGGTGTTTCTTGAATGAAAAGATGGATGAATGAGGCAACTGATACAGAAAAAACTTGGGAACGGTTACTAGGGAGCATGCCTTCTACCAAAGTTACTGTTTAATCAGTCTTCCTAATTTTCTCCAGAATCTGACCCTGGAACTCACACACCTACTTTAATAGAAAATCAGACATCAAAAAATCATCTGCAGTAGTAAACATCAGCTCCTTTTCTGAAAATGGATGGTTTTCTTCCCTACCTGGGCTTGAAAAGTCTGATTTTCTGAGATGTTCTAACAAAATAATTAACTTTCCTAAAAATTGCTCAATAGAATCAGCATTTATTGAGGTTAATAGGAATGCCACAGGCACTATGGCAGGCATTTGCATATAATTTCCCTTGATAATCACAACTCAGTGAAATAAGTGTGTATGTATGCATTTATTGGGTTGCAAAGCTTCTGCAAAGGCAGTTTAGACTTATCACAAAATTTATAAAACCCATAGTGCTTAGAATAGTCAACTGTTGTTTCACAGTAATATTAATTTAACTGAAACATCAAATTGCTAAGTGTCAGATATTAACCAAAAGGTGTGTAGACAGGCTATTGAGAGGCAGTTATGGTATACCATGGGGAGTACTGGACTTAGAATCAGAGGACATGGATTTTGAGATTGAATTATGCTACTTACGATTAAAACATATAAAAATTTCTCAGAGTTCAGTTATTTTATCTGTTGAATGAGGAGGATGGACCCAAGGATCCTAAGGGCACCTTCCAATTCTAATGTTCTATAATCCTATGAGCCTGTTTGGCCACTTAATAGAAAAACATCTACCTCTAATTGACTTATACTGAAACAGGGGAGAATAGAAAAATACCAGCATAGAGCAGGTAAATCCCAGCAATTCTGTTGCCTCACTTTTTATTTGAACCTTTGAAGATTTACCTGTTCTTCTAATTGGACATTCTTTTCTAAAACCAAACGCATGTGCTCCCGTAAGGCTGAATGCTCATGTTGCTGCAGGTTCCTCCGTTTATCCTTCAATATGAAGAGAAAAATAAGTCAGGTTGCTGAGAGGCTCCAAAAATGAAAGAGGTGGTAGGATATTCTGCTAAAATAGAATCTTAACAACTTTGCTTACTTTAATAGTTTAAACACGCACCAGTCTCTAGGTGGGTTGCAGGAAAAATGACTCCAGTGGGTCCCTTTTCCAGCTTTAGTTTGTTTTTGTTTGTTTTTTTTTTGAGACAGCCTGCTCTGTTGCCCAGGCTGGAGTACAGTGGTATGATCTTGGCTCACTGCAGACTCTGCCTCTCGGGTTCAAGCGATTCTTGTGCCCCAACCTCCCGAGTAGCTGGGATTACAGGTGTGCACCACCACACTCAGCTAATTTTTGTATTTTTAGTAGAGACAGAGTTTCACCATGTTGGCCAGGCTGGTCTCGAACTCCTGACCTCAAGTGATCTGCCTACCTTGGCCTCCCAAAGTGCTGGGATTACAGGTTTGAGCCACCATACCTGGCCCCAGCTTTAGGATTCTACAATATCCATGAGACAGAGAATCAGGCCAATATCAAAATTCTCAGTGCTGATTTTCTTCCTTGCCCTGGGAGTATATGACTATGGGTTAAGCGTAGTTATTATCATCTCTCAACTATTCCCATATAAAACCTATCTCCTTTGAGGGTTATCTTCAAATCAGTTTTGTTTGTTTGTTTGTTTGTTTTTTGAGATGGAGTCTTGCTCTGTCGCCCAGGCTGGAGTATGGTGGCACAACCTTGGCTCACTGCAACCTCCACCTCCTGGGTTCAAGTGATTCTCCTGCCTCAGCCTCCCGAGTAGCTGGGATTACAGGCACATGCCACCATGCCTGGCTAATTTTTGTATTTTTAGTAGAGACGGGGGTTTCACCATATTGCTCAGGCTGGTCTCGAACTCCTGACCTCATGATCTACCTGCCTTGGCCTCCCAAAGTGCTGGGATTACAGGCATGAGCCACAGCGCCTGGCCTCTTCAAATCAGTTTTAAGTCAACGCTAGTTCTTCCTCCTGTCAAGCACATTTCCATGCTGCCTCCAATCACGGACTGGCTGCCATGGGCAGGAGGAATGCCACCTGATTTTAATTTCAGCCCATACAAATTTGTTGCCCTCAAAACCATAGACTACATTTGCAAGAAGAAATGGTTGCTTTTTCCCTAATCATTAAAATATTTTTTTTTGTAGACTGCCTATATTACAGTAAAAGCAAATGTTTGTTAGGTGTTCAAGGTGATCCATGCAGTTTAACTAAATATTTATCATCAATTTTCATTCGGGTTAGGGTTGGCTTCTTTGGTGACAGGCTGTCCTAAATAAGGTTCCGGAGAATAACTCCCCCAGCCATCCCAAGCTCTGGTGCTGAGGCAAGTTCTAGAATACAAACCAACTGGAGATTTGGGCCTGACTGTAAAGATCATTTTTAGAGCTAGAAAGCAATTCTGCTTTTTTTTTTTTTTTTTTTTTTGAGACAGGGTCTCACTCTGTTGCCCAGGCTGGAGTACAATGGCATGACCTTGGCTCACTGCAATCTCTGCCTCCCTGGCTCAAGGGATTCTCCCACCTCAGCCTCCCAAGGAGCTGGGACTACAGGGTGCGCCACCACACCTGGCTGATTTTTGTATTTTTTGGTAGAGACAGGGTTTCAATATGTTGCCCAAGCTGGACAATTGTGCTCATGCACAAGAAAGGTAAACCCTATTCTTTTTGCAGCCAAGACAACCTCTGGTTTGATATGTGACAAATTTATAGACTCTTCGCTGATTTTTTTTTAAATCCTTCTCAGAATATACATTTTTTCAAATGGTTTTTAAAATAAAAGAAATATGTGCTTATGTCAAACAACATAAGATGAAGAATAAAAAGTAAAAGGCCTCTTCTGTCCATCTCCACACCCACTTTCCTAGTTTTACCAGAGTGTCAGTAAGGATATACACATTTTTAACACAAATGAGAACATACTATATTTAATTTTTTACATATATCTCATTTTTATCAGCTACATAGTATTCTAAAATATGAATACATAATTATATAGTTGGTGTTTTAATGATAGACTTACAGGTTGTTTTTAGCTTTGGGTTGTGGGGTTTTTTTGCTATACAAACAATAGTAGAATAAACATCTTTGTGTGTCTTTGTGTATGTGAAATCACTGTATAACTTAAGAAAGGATATCTGTAACATAAATCCTAGCAGAAATGCAGGGTCAATGTGTGGATTCATTTTTTATTTTCATAGAGATAACCAAATTGCCCTAAAAAAAGTGAGATATCATAAGATGTTTTAATCTTTGTCAATTTGATGATATTAAAGTATATTTCTTGTTATAATGTATATTTATTTAGGAGTGAAACTGAGCATCTTTTCTTACATTTATCAGCCAAATGAATTTTTTTCTGGAACTGCCCATATACTATATTTCTTTGCCTATTTTTCCATTAAGTTGAGTAGGTTATTAACATGTAAGGTTTCTTTGTATATTAAGGAAAATAGCCCCCCCCTTTTTTTTGTCTGATCATATGTTGCAAACTTTTCCCTCCAGTTCACTGTTTGCTATTTGACTTTATGGTATTTTTTAAAATCATACAGAAGTTTTAAATATTTACAAATTTATCAAAATTATGGCTTCTGGTTTTGTGTTAGTCATTTAAGAAAGGGCTTTTGTTGTTGTTGGGGGGGTTTTTTCGTTTGTTTATTTTGAGACAGTCTCACTCTATTGCCCAGGCTGGAGTGCAGTGGCGCGACCTTGGCTCACTGCAACCTTGGCCTCCCGGGTTCAAGGGATTCTCATACCTCAGCCTCCCAAGTAGCTGGGATTACAGGCGTGCACCACCACACCCAGCTAACTTTTGTATTTTTAGTAGAGGCGGGGTTTCACCATGTTGGCCAGGCTGCTCTCGAACTCCTGACTTCAAATGATCCACCCACCTCAGCCTCCCAAAATGCTGGGATTACAGGCATAAGCCATCGCACCAGCCTCTTTAAGAATAAAAAAATTCACTCATTTTTCCTTCTAGTATTTTCATGATTTCTGAAGTTAACTTCTTATTTTGGAATAATTTTAGATTTACAGAAAATACAGAATAATACAGAGCATGACATATTTTAATGCCTAAAACTTTGCTCCACCTGGAATCTATTAAAAAGACTGAAGTAGAAATCAAATTTTATTTTTATTTTGTGTAATTCATTATTATTTTAAAGTATTTAAAAGGTAATAACATACATATTAAAACACGATTTTAAGTCCATTTTGTTTCAGTATACTTGGTGATATACAAGAGTATATCACCATAAAACCAGGATTTGTAATCATGAGAGGAGTAACCCCAGAAGGTTCCCAAACCAGGTGGAGGCAATGGAATCAAAATTAGAAATAATTACTGTGGGCCAGGCACGGTGCTGTAATCCCAGCACTTTGGGAGGCCGAGGCAGGCGCATCGCCTGAGGTCTGAAGTTCAAGACCAGCCTGGCCAACATGGTGAAACCCTGTCTCTACTAAAAATACAAAAATTAGCCAGGCATGATGGCGGGTGCCTGAAATCCCAGCTACTCAGGAGGCCGAGGCAGGAGAATTGCTTGAACCCAGGATGCAGAGGTTGCATTGAGCCGAGATCATGCCACTGCACTCCAGCCTGTGACAGAGCAAGACTCTGTCTCAAAAAAAAAAAAAAAAAAAAAAAACCCGAATAATTATTGTGATGGTTAATTTTATGTGTCAACCTGGCTAGGCTATGGTGCCCAATTGTTTGCTCAAAACAAGTCTATATGTTGCTGTGAAGGTATTTTGCAGATGTGATGAAAACAATTGGTAGACTTGAAGTAAGCAGATTACCCTCCATAGTGTGGTGGGCCTCATCCAATCATTTGAAGGCCTTCAGAGCAAACACTAAGGTTTCCTGAAGAAAAAAATGCTTCTCCTCAAGACTGCAGCATAGAAACTCCAGCCAGAGTTTCCAGATTGCTGAGCTGCCCTGCAGATTTTGGACTTGCTAGCCCCCACAACTGCAAGAGCCAACTTCTTAAAATAAATCTCTCTATATATGTATATATCCCATTGGTTCTGTTTCTCTGGAGAACTCTAAAATAATTAGCCTTAAATTTCTCAGAACTGTATGTCTTTCTCCATCCTCGATGGAACAGAGAGTAAACTGAACTTGCCAAGTGAATTATACAGTAGAATGTATAGGCAGAAACAAAAAGTCATTCCATACCGTTACAGCACAGCCATAGTGCTTAAAAGGACAGTCTTGCTCAGCTTCAGGACATACAGCCAGGTGTTCATCTACCTACGAAATGGATAGTCACAAGCTATAGAAATTCATCACTTATTCTCCAACTGCAGCAATCAGGGAGCCAAGAGTGGCTTGGGAAGAAGGCAAGGACCAGGAGAAGGAGAGAGGCCTGGCAAGAAAGAGCTATGATGAAAGTTGAAGAGAGTTCGCAGGAAAAAGAGAAGGGAAGACAGATACGTCATGGTCATGCGTGTAATTTAAGCCCTGGGCCCTTATCTTTGGGACTGTATCAAACACAGACCACAATGATTACTAAAACGTTATCTTCCATAAAATCTACAGAGAGGATTATTTGCAGTTACCTCAGTTTTTAGAATAATCTTCGCACAATTGTTGGGACAAAATACTGGGTATTCAGGACACAAGTTTTCCTCATGATTCTGAAATAGAGAAAGTGCAATAAAACAAAGGGTTGTCTTTCATGGCCTCACAGTGATTACACCTGTGTCTCTTTGGGGATTATATGTCACGTGGCTTACTCTCTACAGGAAGTTATTGCCTAATTCCAAAAAAGGATTAAAGATGTCCACTTTCTAGGTGTAAATGAACTTAATTAAAATATTAAATTTTCCAATTATTCCAAAAGAAAGTCATAGAACACAGGATTCAAAGAAGGTAGATTGGGGAACTGCCAGCATAGCTCCTTCGGGACATGTAAAAGGTACCCATGCTTTCTTTTTATGCCTGCATCCTGCCTCCCCAGCTACACTGCAGAATTCAGAGAGTAGACATTATTGTCACCTCCTTGTGACTCAGCACCCAGCATTCATTACACATACACAGCATGTGTTCAAATAATATTTTTGCCAATAATAAATGGAGTGCTACCAACAAGAAGGTTTTAAGCTTTTCACAGAACTTCTCTCCAAAAAGCAAATTCTTTAGACCTAATTCTGTACAAAAATAAATGCAGGAATGTTCTTCTGGCATTCCA
The DNA here is from genome assembly GCF_000001405.40 of Homo sapiens. Taxonomy (NCBI): domain Eukaryota; kingdom Metazoa; phylum Chordata; class Mammalia; order Primates; family Hominidae; genus Homo; species Homo sapiens. The sequence goes on along the minus strand of NC_000001.11, from coordinate 211,360,147 downwards.
CCTGATTCACTGTGACCACTCAGGCATAATTTAGCTCCATAAAGATGACTGTTGTATGTGTTGTTTTTCACCTGTAGATTGATGACTACCACATCCTTTTTGCAATAAAGGCATTTTTCCTTTCGAAACTGACAGGATGCACTCAAATGCTCTTTCAGGTCTTTCCGTAGGACTGGCTCCCGGCACTTCTCATTAGAACACTGCACAGGTTGAAATAAGCACTGCTGAAGGTGATCCTGCAACAGATAACAACAGGCCAGTGGGACCTGCTGACCAGGGTGGTAGGAAAGAAGTCAGCTGGAAGGCCTAGGGAGGGAGAGAGAACAGGGTGGGCAGCTGGGCAGAAAGGCTTGCACAGGGCAAGGCAGAGGGTAGGCTCTCAGGGGATGCTGCCCACTGTCTCTGCTGAGGAGAGGGCATGGGGAGGGCTGCTTGTACCAGAGATGGGAAAGCCAGTCTTGGCTGGGGGAAATTCAGAGGACAGGGGAAGATAGGTGAAGAGGGAAGTACACCAAGTTTGTTTTAGATGATCTAATAATGTGCTCATATTCTCAGGTTAGTTCTTGGATATTTTCCTTAATTTACCAGTTCTTCAAGGACATTTTTATTTCTTTTGTGGACTCTTCATCCCAACCTCCAGCATCAGGTATGGGTCTCTGCATAGCAGATGGTAAAAGGACACAGGAAAAGGAAAAAAGGAGAGAAGGGCATATCCTAACTCAAGGAAGAAAGGGAAAGGATTAAGAAGATGAAAAGAAGGGACAGTAAGCTATTCCAGAAATGATAAAGAAAAGGAGGCAGAGGAAATATAGGTGTGCAAGCCCAAGAGAAGCTAGGAATGGTCAGACTGGTAAAGTCAGGAAATATTTTTAACCATTAATAATACTTTATTGGCCACGTGTGGTGGCTCATGCTTGTAATCCCAGAAATTTGGGAGGCTGAGATGGGAGGATCACTTAAGGCCAGGACTCAAGTCCAGCCTGGGCAACACAGTGAGACCCCAATACCTTGTCTCCACAATTTTTTTTTTTTAATTAGCCAAGTGTTGCGGTGTACACCTATGGTCCCAACTACACAGGAGGCTGAGGTGGGAGGATCAGTTGAGTCCAGAAGTTTGAGGCTGCAGTGAGCTATGATTGTGCCACTGCGCTCCAGCCTAGGTAACACAAATAATAAGTTATTTAAATTTTATTTTAAATATTCTCTAATTTTATTTTAAAAGTTATTTTAAATATTCTGTTATTTATTATTAAAAATAAACATTTATTTACATGTCAATAATGTATTTATTATAAACAATATATTATAGTATTTAATATATTATATGTAATATATAACTATATATACTATTTAATATTATTTAATATTAGAGAATGATTACATGGACAGTGTTCATTCCAGGGTTCTTCACATTCTATTTTATTTTTTTTAATTTTATTTTTGAGTCAGGGTCTCTCTCTGTCACCCAAGCTGGAGTGAAGTGGCGCAATCTCCGTTCACTGCAACCTCCACCTCCTGGGTTGAAGAGCTTCTTGTGCCTCAGCCTCCAGATTAGCTGGGATTACAGGTGTGCACCACACCCAGCTAATTTTTGTATTTTTAGTAGAGACAGGGTTTCACCATGTTGGCCAGGCTGGACATTCTAGGTTTTTTTTTGTTTTTTTTTTTTTTTAGACAGAGTCTCGCACCGTCACCCAGGCTGAAGTGCAGTGGCGCAATCTTGGCTCACTGCAACCTCCGCCTCCCAGGTTTCAAGCGATTCTCCTGCCTCAGCCTCCCAAGTAGCTGGGATTACAGACACCAGCTACCATGCCCGGCTAATTTTTGTATTATTAGTAAAGACAGGGTTTTGCCACATTGGCCAGGCTGGTCTCAAACTCCTGATCTCCAGTAATCTGCCCACCTCGGCCTCCCAAAGTGCTGGTATTACAGGCATGAACCACCACGCCTGGCCAACATTCTAGAGGTTTAAAAGCAGGCATATCTCAGTGAAAACCTTTGAATCACTGCAGTTATTGTGATGCTGGCAAGTTAACAAAATGTTAGAGAACTTGTCCCCCTGAGGGTCCTTTAAGACAAAATTGGCAAGCTAAGACTCACAGGCCAAATCTGGCCTGCTACTTGTTTTTATAATTAAAGTTTTATTGGAGAGGAGCCACACCTATTCCTTCACATATTGTCTATAGCTGCTTTGCCTCTAAAATGGGAGAGCTGAGTAATTGTGACAGAGACTGTATGGCCTGCAAAGCCTAAAATAGTTACTATCTGGCTCTTTTATGATTATGATGATGATTATTATTATTATTGTTTGACTCTTAAGAGAGTTTGCTGATCCCTTCTCAGAAGAAAAAGCAAACAGTTTTTTGACAGTGAGATAAACAAATGCAGCTATTCTCCTTCACCTCTGGTAGTAAGAATCATATGGTGATCACAGTTGGAATCCATCTCTTCTCCAAAATTGGTTGATATTACTCCTCAACTCTCACCCAAACAGTCAACATTCATCAAAACTCTGCTACCTGTAAGATTCTACACCTTACCATAGAAGTGGGTGGGTGGGAAACAAGGAATGAGGGGAAATATAAAAGAAACAGGTGGAGAGAACCCAGGCCCTGCTCTCCATAAGCCAGTTTTGGTCACTAAAGCTGTTCAATGGTCCATTTGAGCCTCACTTACTTTTTAGGCTTAGTGACAACAAAGTTGGAAAAAAGGCCTTGCTCTAGGACTCGACTATTCAAAACAAGGGGCAAAAGACACATGAAAACATAACAAAAGTTCTATGAACCTCCAAATAAATTCCTGGATTAACAAGGAAATCATTTACACATTTATAAGCTCAGTCCCTGAGGGATTTGGAGGTGTGATAGAGAAAAGACTGAATCATCTGAAATATGTGTTCCAAAATGTGTGGGTGTGCGGGAGAAATTTCAGCAGCCTCTCAGCAATTCCCTAGAAGTTAGAGAAGCCTGAGTCATGTTCACTTGCAGTGTGATCAAACTTGACATGGGCCTGCCAGGCAGCGCCACACTTCCAGCTTCCCCTTTAACCACCTTCCCTAGCTGGAAGGAAGAGCAGCTGGGGTCACTTCATTTGAAAGGCATCAATTCCCCTTCACTCACATTTCCCCTACACCTTGTTGGTTTGTCTCTCCTATCAATGCTTCACCTTTAACCCACAGCCTGTCTCTGTCCTGGTCTGAGTGATCTCCGTTAGATCATAAACCCCATGAGGCCAGGTCCCACAGTTGCTGGGAAACACCTACGACAGCACCAAGTGAGAGAGCAAATGCTTTTGGGGAAGGACCTCACAATTGTGTCTTTCTGTAGTCATGCCCTGGGTCCCACACAGTTCCCCCAAAATGGCATATTCTTGAGTGTTTGTTTTGTCCAGCATGTCCCACGCCCTCTCTTTTGGCTCAATGATCCCTACCACACAATTAAGGTCTAGTGGATACAAGATGTCCTCCATGCGCTCCATACAGGACGAACCTCTTCACTCACACCTCAGCCGTAGGTGGGCTACAGCACTGTAGCCACCTGTATTGCTAGACTGGGAATCCTTGAGGGCAATTCACTGAATCCCTGTACCATGCTTAGCTCAGTAACTGTCACATAAAGGGGTTCAACACACATTCCTGGAAAAATGGCAAAAGCAGATATCGTTCATGAGTAATACCAACCTGGTACCGGCCCAGAATAACCTTGGCATTACATCCAGGAGCATTGCTGCAATATACATATAAGTTGAGGACTTCTCTTTTGCAACAATTGTCTTTAAAAACCTAAAAGATAAACATAATAGGTCTCACACACTTCAAAGTTTTACAGCAATGTGAATTAAGCTATTACTAATTTGGTCTTCGAGTGTATCTCAGAAGGCAGGTGGAAACTTCCAGACATCAGCTGGAATGGAAATATCACACTTACACCACACTGAAAGAAAAGGCTGTCTCAGATACATGCTTTTGACAAACCATTAAACATACAAGCCAGGTAACAATGCCCTGCGCACCAGGCTGCAACTAGGTGAAACTCATGGTGAACCTGACCCCACATTCTTAAAGGTCAGGAGGTGAAGCTTGGCCAAGGGTGATGCTTTCAGCTTCCTGTCCCAGGGTAAATGTATTACTTATCAGACAGTGTCACTGAGGCTGTGCTGGCTTGCTATTTTAGCGCAAACCAGGAGTCGGCAAACATTCTCTGTAAGGGGTCAGATAGTCCACATCACGATCATCTCTGTTGCCACATTTCAACTTTTCCATACACAATACTTAAATGAATGGGCACAGCTACATTCCAATAAAACACTATTTATGAACACTGAAATTTGAATTTCACATGTCACCAAACTTTCTTCTTTGGATTATTTAAAATGAATTTTTATTTTGAAGTAGTTTAAGACTCACAAGAAGTTGCAAAAATATGAGGGTTTCTATGCACCCACCATTACATAAAAAGAATTTCTTAGCTTACAGGCCATACAAAAACAGGTAGCAGGCTGGATTTGTCCCAAGACTGTAGTATGCCAACCCCTGGATAGTAGGTCAGACAGACACTAAATGCAGCACAGCCGTGTTGTAGGTATTTGCAAAACACCTCATAAGGAGTATAGAGAAGATGCGTGTACAGCAGACTAGAGGCTCAAGGAAAGCTTCTGCTTGAACATCCTGCAACAGAATCTTAAAGGAAGAAAACTGAACTTAAAGAGGAGTTTTAAGGGAGAAAGTCTTCATGACAATGGAACAGACAATCGTTTCTTAGATACAACACCAAAAAAGAACAAGCAACCAAAAAAAGAAAAAAGAAATAGATGAATTAGAGTTCATCAAAATGAAAATTTTTTGTGCTTCAAACACACGATCAAGAAAGGGAAAAGACAACCCACAGAATGGAAGAAAAATATTTGCAAATCTTAGCAGCCAAATGTCTGCTAAGAGATTTATATCCAGAATATATAAAGAACTTTTTTTTTTTTTGAGACAGAGTCTTGCTCTGTCACCCAGGCTGGAGTGCAGTGGCATGATCTCAGCTCACTGCAACCCCCACCTCCCAGGTTCAAGCGATTCTTGTGCCTCGGCCTCCCAAGTAGCTGGGATTACAGACATGCACCACCACACCTAGCTAATTTCTGTATTTTTAGTAGAGACAGGGTTTCGCCATGTTGGTCAAGCTGGTCTCAAACTCCTGGCCTCATGTGATCTGCCTGCCTCAGCCTCCCAAAGTGCTAGGATTACAGGCTATAAATAACTCTTATAATTCAACAATAAAAGGTAAATAACTCAATTTTTTAAAATGAGCAAAGGAACTAAATAGGCATTTTTAACAAAGAAGATGTACAAATAGCCAATAAGCACATGAAAAAATGCTCAACTTCATTAGCCAACAGGAAAATGCAAATCAAAACCATAATGAAATATATTAGCTGGAGCCAGTGTAGGAAGGGGATGAGGAAGAAGCAGGAGAGGAGACTTGGGGTGGAGGAGGGGTGTGGTCAATAAAGACCCAAACAAGCCTCTCAAACAGGGCTACGAGTAGGGTCTGATGTGACCCCACAGCAGAAGAATATGGACTCCAAGGAAGGTCTCCCTCGACCACTCTCCTGCTCCTATCTCAATGTCCAATTCACTGACTTCTTCTCCATCACCCTGAGAGCTGCTAGACAAAAGCAGTGACTTTCTTACCTCCTGAGATTTGATGACCTCTTTATCTACAGGGCAGATTGGCACTGTGTTTAATTCTCTGGAGAAAAAAATTAAAATGGAGCCAGAGTTAGTTGTTTACCTCAACAGCATTTCCAAGACCAGCCCCAGGGCTCCAGCCATGCTCTAGCCCTGGGCAGGCTGGTCCCTGTCTGCACATGCTGTTCCCTCTACCCAGAAGGGGCCTCCTGTACCCCTCCTTCAGCACCTTCCTGTTCTTTCAGTTTGCCTGAAAAACTTCATGCAACCTCTGGGATGCAGTCAGTGAGTCCCTGGACAGAGCTGAATGCCCCCTGTCCTTTGTTTATCACGCTGTGCCACATTTGTCTCCTCTAGACTGGGACATTCTAGAGGGCAGACATGGGGTCCTGTTCCACATTGTAGCTCTTCAGCATGACAGCACAGAACACACAGGTGCTGAAGGCACAAACACATGAGGGAATGAGGATGTGCTGTAATAACCCCCTTTCAAAGCTTGGCAGGGTAAAATGACTGCCTTGCTTCCTATATAACCCCCCAAAGTGTACCTGCTTCCACATCTCTCCTGGTATCCTCCCTCAACACAGTATGACCCAGGTCTTACAGCTGCCCAGGAGTGGACAGCATCCATGGCAGCAAGGTCCCTTCTAGGTGCCACAGCACCTCTGCCTCAAGGCAAGGGAAGATTGGGGTGACTACAACACAGACATTGTGAGATTCAAGCCCTTCTCCACAGCCAGCTCCCATGATGGAGTGTGTGTCTAGGTCTGCTGTCCCATGCAAAGCAGGTACAGTCTGAATTTTAAGAAAAGGTAAATATCTGTAAATTAGTGACCAAAAAATGATTATTCTTCAGGCCCTCACAGAGGGGATCTGGGAGAGTCCTTCCTTACAGTCATGGTTCTGTGGCCAAGTAAAACAACTCCAAAACCCATGAAAACAGTTGAGTGGCCACAGTTGCCACCTGGATGCTAGGACTGCCATGGCCAGAGTTGCAGGCCCTGCCCACTCACCTCAGGGACAGGATGCAGTGCTGGCAGAAGCGGTGCCCACATCCTGTCTGGTGGGGGTTGTGAAGCACCGAGTGGCAGAAGGCACATTTGTAGCGCTCTTCCAACCGCTCCACAAACTGGTACTCTATACTGGGCTCAAAGTCCAAGGAAATGGAGTTGCCGGAATTCTGGCGGATGAAACCACAGGGCATACCTTTATGCTCTTCTGAATAAGCCATTCTGCAGAGGTCAGGGGAGGAGAGGGAAAATTAAGTGTGCAAACACTGAAACAACCACAGCCATCAGATGCTTTGGTTATTTGTCTCATAATTAGTGTACATCATTCACATGGTCATTCTGTTGTGACTCTGAAACAACAGTGACAACCTCCTGCCACTAGGGGGCTCCGGCAAAGGTGCAATGTCTTTGGGGTGCTCAGGTTAGAGGCTGGACCAGATGACTTCTAGCAAGATTCTACGAGATTCAGTTCTTTGTCCATCAGTCTTTTACAGGGTGCTAAATTACCCTGTCAGTTTGGCCATATGCTTGGACAAAATATAGCCAGGTGTGTTAATTACATTATAAGTAAACTGTTAGGAATTTTTCTTCCACTCAATGAGAGAATGGAAACACAGGTTTTGTTAAAATTTTTAGAAGCAGACAAATATATTTCTCACCATCTTGGAAGCACAGAGCAAGCGTTTACCAGACATTGAACATGCTGGTGTCTTGAACTTGGACTTCCCAGCCTCCAGAACTATGAGAAATAAATTTCTGTTCTTTATAAACTACCCAGTCTGAGGTATTTTGTTACGTCAGCACAAACAGACTAATACTTTTTTTCTTTTTTTCAGAGACAAGGTCTCACTCTGTAGCCCAGGCTGGAGGCCAGTGGTGTGATCATGGCTCACTGTAATCTCCAATTCCTGGGCTCAACTGATCCCTCCCCAGTAGCTGGGACTACAGGCACTACAGGCACACACCACCACACCAGGCCAATTAAAAAAAAAAAAAAACTTTTTTTTTTTTTTTTTTTTAGAGACAGTGACATGGTTTGGCTGTGTCCCCACCCAAGTCTCCTCTTGAATTCCCACATATTGTGGGAGGGACCCAGTGGGAGGTAATATAATCATGGTCTTTCCTGTGCTGTTCTCATGTGAATAAGTCTCATGAGATCTGATGGCTTTATAAGGTGGAGTTTCCCTGCACAAGCTCTCTCTCATTTTGCCTACTGCCATCCATGTAAGACGTGACTTGCTCCTCCTTGCCTTCTGCCATGATTGTGAGGCGTCTGCAGCCACATGGAACTGTAAGTCCATTAAACCTCTCTTTTTTATAAATTGCCCAGTCTTGGGTATGTCTTTATCAGCAGCATGAAAACGGACTACCACAGACAGGGTCTCACTATGCTGCCCAGCCTGGTCTTGAACTCCTGGACACAAGTGATCTTTGTGGCTCAGCCTCCCAAAGTACTGGGTAAGCCACCACACCTGGCCTAAGATAACACTGTTAAAACCTGTGGAGCCAAGGACCCAACACAGCAACACAATATTGAAGGAGAAGAACAAAGCTGGAGGACTAACACTACTCAACTTCAAAACTTATTATAAAGCTACAGTAATCAAGACAGTGTAGTACTATCAAAAGAACAGACAAATAGATCCAGGGAACAGAATAGACAACCCAGAAATAGACCCACATAAATACAGTCAACTGACCTTTGACAAAGGAGAAAGGGCAAAACAATTATGCAAAGATAAGTCTTTTCAACAAATGGTGCTGGGACAACTGGACATCACATCAGAAAACGAAGCTAGACACAGACCTGACACCCTTCACAAAAATGAACTCAGAATGGATCACAGACATAAACATAAAATGCAAAGCTATAAAACTCCTACTAGATAACATAGGATAAAATCTAGATGATCTTGAGTTTGGCAATGACTCCTTGCACACAAATATATTACTCACAGTATCTATCACTGCCATTGCGGTAGATCGAATGTTTGTATTCCTCCCAAAATTTATATGTGGAAATTCTAACCCCCCATGTGACAGTATTAGGAGGTGGGCATTTGGCAGGTAATGAAGTCATGAGAGTGGAGCCCTCATGAATGGGATTAGTGCCCTTATAAGAAGAGGCCAGAGAAGGCTGGACGCAGTGGCTCATGCCTATAATCCCAGCACTTTAGGAGGCTGAGGCAGGCGGATCATGAGGTCAGGAGATAGAGACCATCCTGGCTAACGCGGTGAAACCCCGTCTCTACTAAAAATACAAAAAATTAGCCAGGCGTGGTGGCAGGTGCCTGTAGTCCCAGCTACTTGGGAGGCTGAGGCAGGAGAATGGCGTGAACCCAGGAGGCAGAGATTGCAGTGAGCTGAGATGGCGCCACTGCACTCCAGTGTCAGAGCAAGACTCCGTCTCAAAAAAAAAAAAAAAAAAAGAAGAGGCCAGAGACAGAGAGAGCAGGGAATGGTGGTGCACACCTGTAGTCCCAGCTACTCAGGAGGCTGAGGTGGGAAGATGGCTTGAACCTAGGAGTTCGAGTCTAGCCCAGGCAACATGGCGAGACCTCCTCTCTAAAGAGGCCAGAGAGGTCCCTGGCCCTCTTGCTGCCATGTGATGATACAGCAGTTAAGTCTGCAGCCCGGAAGAGGGACCTCATCAGAACCCAACCACACTGGCACGCTGATATTGGGCTTTCAGCTTCCAGAACTGTCAGAAACCTCTGTTGTTTATAAGCTACCTAGTCTATGGTGCTTTCTTATAGCAGCCCAAGCTAAGACAAGTACCAAGCCACATCATTTCTCACCTGAACTAAATATGAGTTCATTAATTGCTTTCTTCTCCAATCTACTCTCCATACTATAGCCAGGATGAGACTTTCAAAATGTCAAGTACAATGTTAGGTTATCTCCCTTCATCTTTTAGTGGCTTCCCAGGTTCTGAGAGAAAGTCCACAATGCTAAGCAGGCTCAAGACTGTATCCTCCCCAGTACAGCACCATCCTGGACCTCTCTTTCCTGGCTTTCCGTACTCCAGCCACACAGGGTTTTTGTTTTTGTTTTTGTTTTTGTTTTTGTTCTTCTAATACACCACACTCTATGCCACAGGGCCTTCGCACAAGCTACCTGGGAGGCTGAGGCAGGGGGGGATCACTTGAGCCTGGGAGGTGGAGGCCACAGCGAGTCATGATTATGCCACTGCACTCCAGCCCGGGTGACAGGGCGAGAGACCCTGTCTCAAAAAAAAAAAAGAAAGAAAAAAAAAAAAGCCTGGGGTTTGAGACCAAAGCTCCACCTTTTCCCTAGTGTTTCCTGCAAAACTTCAAGGGTGGTAGGTAAGCAGTATAAGATACAAATGTTCCCTCCTGTAACATGGTTGACTCTTGGGATTTAACAAAAGTTTTAATTCTGAAGATGAAGAGGCAAAACATTTTATTTACATGCACAGCCCTAATAACCAAGCCCCACCTTTCTCTCAGAGAACTGGAAGAACCACTTTCAAACTGCCCTGCTCTGCCTTGTGTTCCCTCATTCCTGCGGAGGTTGGCACTTCGCATCCTGTGCCCTGATGTCATATTCTATGTCCTTCTGAGATTCTCTTCTGAGGCCAGGCCCAAGTCTGTCACACAGTATCTAAATTTGGACTCTCAGAGATGTATCCTAAAGCAACAGGCTCATTCAGTCCCCAGAATAAGGCAGTAGGATGTACAAAACTCAGTTCAGGTTCCCTCCACTACACTCTGCACTCTCCCTAACACAAGAATCTATGGCACTCATCTGTGTGTATGTCCATCTTTTGCTACAACAGTAGTTCTCCAACTTTTCGGTCTCTGGACCCCCTATGATTTGAATGTATGTGTCCCCCCCAAAATTCGTATATTGAAACCTAAGGTCCAGTGTGATAGTATTAAGAGGTGGGACCTTTAGGAGGTGATTAAGTCATGAGGGCTTTGTATCCACGGATGGGACCAGTGACCTTAAAATGGGCTCAAAGGAACTAGCTAGGTTATTTTGCCCTTCCAACTTTCCCCATGTAAGGACAGTGTTCATCTCTGGAGGATGCAGCAATAAGCTGCCATCTTGGGAGCAGAAAGTGAGCCCTCACCAGACACGGAATCTGCTGGTGTCTTGATTGTGGACTTCTCAGCCTTCAGAACTGTGAGAAATACATTTTTGTTCTTTATAAATTACCCAGTCTGAGGTATTTTGTGATGGCAACACAAACAGACTAAGATAACACTCTTGTTTTTTCTTTCTTTTCAGAGACAGGGTCTCACTCTGTAGCCCAGGCTGGAGTGCAGTGGTGTAACCATGGCTCACTGTAACCTCCAACTCCTGGGCTCAAGTGATCCTTCCACCTAAACCTCCCCAGTAGTTAGGACTACAGGTGCGTGCCACCACGCCTGGCTAATTTTTTTTTTTTTTTTTTTTTTTTAGAGACAGAGTCTCACTATGTTGCCCAGCCTGGTCTTGAACTCCTGGCCACAAGCAATCCTTTCAGCTCAGCCTCCCAAAGCAATGGGATTACTATAGGTATGAGCCACAGCACCTGGTCTAAGATAACACTCTTAAAACTTGAGGAGCCAAAGATCCATAGGATGGACACTACCCAACTTCAAAACTTATTATACTTGATTATAAAGAATATAGAGAATAAAGAGCCCAGAAATAGATCCACATAAATATAGTCAACTGACCCTTGGCAAAAGGCCAAAGGCAAAACAATGATGCAAAGATAATCTTTTCAACAAATGGTGCTGGGACAACTGGACATCTACAACAGAAAATGAAGCTAGACACAGACCTGACACCCTTCACAAAAATTAACTCAGAATGGATCACAGACATGAATGTAAAATGCAAAACTATAAAACTCCTACTAGATAACACAGGATAAAATCTAGAGGATCTTGAGTTTGACAATGACTTTTTAGGTACAACACCAAGGGCACAATCCGTGAAAGAAAGAATGGATAAACAGACTTCCATTCAATTTTGCTGTGAACCTAAAACTGCTCTAAAAGAAAATCTTGTCTTTTTTTAATGGAGGACCCCTAAGAGTTTTTGTTTACGCAAATTATATCTATTCATATTTACCATACTTGAGAGTCAAATTGAGGAATTTTAAAAGTATTTACTTCAAGATAATAAGCCAATTATATGTTAATACAAATATTTTTATGAAAAATAACCATTTTCCAAAACAAAAGAATTAGTGAGAAGAGTGCCACCATTTTACATGTTTGCACATCTCTTTAATGTGTTGCTTAATAGAAGATAGCTGGATTCTCATGTCTGCTCCTACATTCAGTCTGTTGCATATCATATATCATTTAGCTTCAGGGAAACATCTCTGTGCATTTGTAAAAGGAGAGTACAAATGGCAAACGATGTCAGTACTATTATGAAAATAGTTTTGACCATGCAGATCCCCTGAAAGTGTGTCAGGGAGCCCCAAGCAGTGCTGTGCTAGTAAACATTTAATAATCTGCTCAACTGGGGGAAAGCTCCAGCTTGTAGCATTTGCCGATTTCTGTGGTTAAACACTTCCACTATGGCTAATTTCAAGGTAACAATGAAAAAGGTCACTGAACTGGAACTGGGAAAGAGATGCACACAATTGGCTCTTACCTGAACTCACCTGAAGTAAGAGTCCATTAAGTGACTTCCTAGTAAGAGCTGCTCCAGCACCCCAGGGGCCCTTGAAGCACACTTTGGAAACCACTGCTCTATTAGATGGCTGTGTGGGCCCATGTCTTGTCAGCTTTGTCCTGGCAGACACAGCACATGTGACTCTCACAGTCTCCTTGCTCCTGCTGAACAGCCAGCAGAGGACTGAATGCCCCATCCTTCCTCTCCCCATCCATGTGTGTATTTCCCAGACCTATTCAACAGGCCTAAGTCATTCACTGACCTTGTTCACTCTCTAATCGGTTATTGTCTTGTCCACTATTTGTTTTTATGAAATTGGGTTTTTAATCTCATAACACATTGTAGAAAAATAAGCATTTATGTTCGGCCATGAGATGTGGACTTGAGGTGTCTTTCTGGGTGAGGTTCTAGTATATAAACAGAGCTGTGATGCCTCCCAGGGCAGGATCCGTCTCCTTCTGAAGCTTCCTCAAGCCTGGACCCACTTTGTTCACTGACATGAGAGAGCCCAACAGCAGAACTAGAAAGGCTATGCTTCTTTACCTAACAAATATATTTATCTAATTAATTAGATACTTTCAGCTGGTATTCTGTCATTCCCAGGCAGCTATTTAGTGGAAATGAGTAAGCACTCCATTTTATTAAAATCTTTCCCCTCTGTGTATAACAGCTTACGTAACAGGAACAACAAAGCAGCTCAGTTCTTGCAAGTCAGGAAAAAAAAAACATATCAAAACTGCTAAAAATAGAGCTTATATATCACCTTTCTGCAGTCAATGGCATTCGTATTCTTGCCATCAATGGGATGTACAGTGTGGTACTCCTACTGAAGAGTTGTTAACTCAAGCCAAAAGAGACAAAAGAAAGTCACATCCCATCTATTCCCTAAGAACTCTTGTTGAGTTTCTTTGAAATGCCATCTTCTTGTTTCATAAATTGATGCATCTTTTCCATGAGAATTTTTTAGGAATTCCAAAGGAAAGCTGTGGATGCCACCATTTACATTCTTTACTTACGTATCTCTACGGATTCATTTCTGGAGAACATATGACAAATATTCTCACATTCTGAAGCAACGTGAGCTTAGCCTTCAGTTATAACAAAAAAGATATGTATTTTGCAGAGTTTAAGGTTTAACAAAGAAAGGTAGATCCTGCTCTGTCTATCCATACCACCTCCATACCCCTGCCAACATCCAGTTTGGATTAATGAAGATTTGAAAAACTGGGGAATTTTTAAATATATTATGTTATAGTGCATAAGACATAAGTCCACAAAATTTGTCTTCAGGGTTTTCAAGTTCTGATTCTTGGGGAATTACTGATTACTACAGATAAAATCCCAGAGTGAAAAGGGCACAGGACCAGAGACCTCTGTCTCTGCTCTGCCACTCACCATCCATGAAACCGTGAGCAGGACACCCCACAGCCCACTCATCTGCACATCCCTGCACTGATCCTGGGTTAGGTCCTGAGAATGCAGAGGCTGTGACGTTGCATCTGCCCTTGAGTCCCTCCAAGGACAGAAGAAATAAGGCACAAAAATGATCAATTACAATATCCCACTGGCAAGTACCACAAACAGAGATTTCGACAAAGAACTGGTACAGCCTAGGTGAGGGGTAGCTAACAATTTCTGAGGTGTCTGTGCTGATTTCACAGAGAAGAAATCATCTCAGCTGGTCTTGAAGAAAGAGGAGGCATTTTCTAGATGAAGGAGGTTAAAGAATTTCCTGCTATCACAAAAGTTCTAGAATGGTTAGCAATTAACTGTAGCTGAAGTGGAATTAAGGGAACATGCCAGTCATTTGCCTGTTTGCCCAGATCCACCCCCTACTCTTGCTCTGCTTAGCTCTGCAGCATGAGGTAGGGTGAAATTTGATGCCGCAAACTGTTTTCCAGGCTCCCTGGCTTCTGGTTAGGTTCAGCCAATGAGAGGCACTGGGATGGGAAGAGTGGGAAGAGGGGCAAGCCAGGGGATCTCTCCCCGATCCCTGGGTGCTGGGCAGCATCTCAACAGTGACTGGTGCTCCTCCATGGCTCTAATGACACCAGATGGCCCCTCTCTCTGTGGACAGGCTGCCAGAAGGCAAACTGTCCATTTCTCAGCTCTGCTCAGGTCTTGCTGGCAGTGTTGGTCAACTGCCTAATACCCACTTGAGCAGCATGGGAAGGATACAAATATGTTATTCCCCAAACCCACCCAAGGCCCACCAATGGGTCCTGGGCTTAAAGAGGAGAGACTGTGGCTGGTGATAAAGAAAAGTTAAAATGTTCAATCCCAAGATGCAGTGACCCAACGGGTCTCTGGAATCCATGCCCTCGGTGGGTTCCAGATGCTCTCCTGCTAGGATCGGCAGTTCTCTCTCAAGGTCATGGCTGGCGTTGAATCCTGTGATTCTGCTCTTCCAGGAAGAACAGTTACTACCAGGAAGCAAAAAAAAAGGAGGGGGGGGGAGCGCAGGGCTGGCACAGTGGCTCAAGCCTGTAATCCCAACACTTTGAGAGGCCGAGGCAGGAAGATTGCTTGAGCTCAGGAGTATGAGACCAGCCTGGGCAACATGGCAAAACCCCATCTCTACAAAAAATACAAAAATTAGTTGGCCAGGTGCAGTGGCTCATGCTTGTAATCCCAGCACTCTGGGAGGCCGAGGTGGGTAGATCACCTGAGGTCGGGAGTTCAAGACCAGCCTGACCAACATGGAGAAATCCTGTCTCTACTAAGAATACAAATTAGCTGGGCATGGTGGCGCATGCCTGTAATCCCAGCTACTTGGGAGGCTAAGGCAGGAGAATCGTTTGAACCCAGGAGGCTGCGGTGAGCCGAGATTGTACCATTGCACTCCAGACTGGGCAACAAGAGCAAAATTATGTCTCTAAATAAATAAATAAATAAAATTAGCAGGGTGTGGTGGTGCACGCCTGTAGTCCCAGCGACTTGGGGGGCTGTGGCAGGAGGATCGCTTGGGCCTGGGAGGTCGAGGCTGCAGTGAGCCGTGTTCATTGTTCACGCCACTGCACTCCACCCTGGGCGACAGAGAAAGACCTTAACTTAAAAAAGGAAAGGAAAACGAAGGAGGAGAAAGCACTTTATCTGTTAGGCTATCCTCCTGGCACAAAGGAGAACTGAAATGGTCTCACAGTTTTTCCAAAGCTTCTGTCTGTGATGGCCTAAAGAGGCCTTCCCTCAAAAACTGAAGAAGAAACCCCTTTAACCAGGCAGGTCAAAGACGAAGGCCTTGGAGAAAGGGAGAACCAATAAGGCCATTTTCCATTACACCTAATGTGGCTGGGAGCTCATGCAGAGACCAGGTGACACCACGACAACCAGACAACATGTGACCACAGTCCACCGACGCACTGTTCTTGCCCCAGGATGACTGGCTTTGATGTCTTAGAGGCAGAGATAAGGGTATGTTTTCTTTGCTTTTCCTTATGTCTTCACAGAAGGAAGTTGTCTTGGGAACAGGACAAACAATGATGTGAGTATAATTTTAATTACTTTAAAGAGAACTGTGACTTCTCTCCAAGTTGTCAGGAAACCTCTGGTTCCCCATTCTCCTGGCGGTACAGCAAGCACTGACAGTGAGTAGATGGGAGTGCAAAGGCTGAAGGGCATCCCTCTTCCCCCAACCCTCCAGGCTGCACACCCATGCTGGCCTGACGAAAGCTGCTGCTGCCTCAAGTCAGTCCCACTTACAGAGATGCCTTTAGTGGAACTCTTCTCCTCAGAACCATGTAGAGTCTACCTGACTCCAGGTGGTACTTTTAAGGTATCCAGGAGACCTTTAGATTTGCTCTCAGAAACCAGACCAAGAGGAAAAAATAACAAAGAAAGCTCTACTGATCTTCCCACACAGCAGCTTTCTCCACTAGGAAGCCTTGTTCTCCACTAGGAAGCCCCCATCCTTGGCTCCAGCTCTGTAACAGTCCCCACTGCTACCTAGGGACAGTTCCTCGAGCTCCCATTAGTCCCCAGGCCAGAGTACCCAATAACTCAGATGACTCAATAATCAGTGTGGAAACTCCGAGTCACTGTGAGGCCACAGTGAGAAAGGGCCGTGAAGACAATCTAGGAGAGTTCCGATTGAGGCAGAGGGCAAGAGAAGGGTATTAAAAGAAGTGAATGGAGCCTAAGGCTGGAGTCAGATATGGGTTAGGATTACAAGTACTGAGGCTATGTCCAAGCACAGAGACAGCTAATTATATGCATTAGCTCATTTTAACCCCTCAGCCAGGTGTGGTGGCTCAAACCTGTAATCCCAGCCATTCCGGAGGCTGAGGTGGGAGGATTGCTTGAGCCCAGGAGGTCAAGGCTACAGTGAGCTATGATGGCACAACTGCACTCCAGCGTAGGAGACAGGGTGATATATGATATGATATATATATTATCATTATTCCCCTTTTTTTAAAATGAGGAAATGGAGGCCTAGTGAGCTCCTACTGCCAGGTAGTGGTGGAGGCCCTCAGGGGATGAAGAGCTGGGGTTCCTCCCTGCCCCTCCAAGGTTCCAAGAGTCAGCATGGCATGACAATTACCAGCATGAACTCTGGAGTAGACTTGCCTGGATTCATATCCTGCCCATACCCCTTCATAGCCACGTGACCTCAGGCAAATTACTTAGTCGCTATGTTTCTCCGTTTCCTCATCTGTAAAACGATGATAATGAAATGCTGGACAGGACATGGAGTAAAGGGAACCCTCATACACTGTTGGTAGGAATGTAAATTAGTACAGCCACTATGAAGAACGGTATGGAGGTTCCTCAGAAAACTAAACACAGAACTACATATGATCCAGCAATCCCACTGCTAGGTATATATTCAAAAGAAAGGAAATCAGAATATTGAAGACACATCTGCCCTCTCATGTTTACTGCAACACTGAAGAACCAAGATCTGGAAGCAACCTAAGCATCTATCAACAGATGAATGGATACAGAACATGTGGTACCTATACACAATATTCAGTCATAGAAAAGAACAAGATCCTATCACTTGCAACAACATAGATGGAACTAGAGGACATTATGTTAAGTGAAATAAGCCAGGCACAGAAAGACAAGCTTCACATGTTCTTGTTTGTGGGAGCTAAAAATTAAAACAATTGAACTTATGGAGACAGAGAGTAGAAGGATGGTTACTAGAGGCTGGGAAGGGTAGTTGTGGGGTGGGGGAAGTGTTGGGTAGAGGAAGTGGGGATGATTAATGAGTACAAAAATATAGTCAGAATAATCGTATAGAATACAATCTAGTATTTGATAACAGGGTGACTATAGTCAACAATAATTTATTGTACATTTAAAAATAACTAAAAGAATTGGGATGATTGTAACACAAAGAAATGATACATGCTTGAGATAATGGATACCCCATTTACCCTGATGTGATTATTATGCATTGTATGCCCATATCAAAATATCTCATGTAGCCAATATACACCTAATACACACCCATAAAAATAAAAAAGTAGGACTTATCACAATTCAAAAAAAAGAAAAATATATCAAAAAACAAAATAAAATGGTGATAATAACAGTAGTTACCACATAGAACTTCTTAAGATTAAATACGTCAATACTATATACATCAGGGGTTGGCCCATCACATGTTTTGTAAATAAAGTTTTATTAGAACACAGCCATGTTCATTCATTTACATATTGTCTATGGTTGTTTATGTGCTACCACAGAGGAGCTGAGCAGTTGCCCCACAGACCATATGGCCCACAAGGCCTCAAATACACAGTTACTACCTGGTTCTTTACAGAAGAAGTTTGCTGACCCCTCTATGCATGAAGAACTTATAGTGGTAGTACACAGAGGTGTCATAAGGGCTATTATTAATAAGCACTTGCCCCTGAGTCTCTCCATCAATGTCCCCCACTCTGAGATAACCTGACTGCCTGACATGCTATTTGCCTTCTCATTTCACCCAATTTTGAATTCATGGTTACACTGGACTATCTCGCGCTAAACATTTATTGATTCAGTCACTTTTTGTAAATCATTTCTTTGCTGGGAACCTACCATAGGCAGACACTGATGAGGAAACAAAAATGCAGCACATGGGCCCAAATTCCCCACCCCCTGGAGCTCTGGCCCATTCTCCATCCTCAGCCCGGCAATGCCCCATCAACCTCTTTCTCCCCTCTCTCCTTCCCATTCCCAGCTCCAGAGCAATGCCCGATGGAAACACACCTTCCAGGTGGCACCCACAGACCTGTGTCCTTTATCAGATCCCATCAGTGCCTCTCTGAAGCCTCCCTGGCCCTCCCAAGCTTATCTGTACTCTACCTGGAATAAGTCGGCAGGCCCAAATCATCTGGGCATGTGGTATATGAGGCCATATACAGCCTGGGAAAGCATATTATGTTAGTTTGATGATCTAAACTGTAATCACATCATCACATTTGCTGACTAGTCTCTCCTAAATCACTGCCCTCCTGCCCTTTATGTGACATTTGGCACTTCCTTCTTGAAACTCCCTGATCCCTTGGCCCTAGGGTTCTGTGTTTGTTGGTTCTCCTCCCAGCTCTGAACCACACCTCTTGGTGGCTCCTTGTCAGCATTCCACTCCTGCAGGGTTCCCCAAAGCTAGGTCAGCCTTCTGCCCTTTGTTCTTGACTCAGCTCAAGAACTTCTCCTCATTGGAAAGGCTTCTCCTCATTGGAAAGGCTACCTACTGCCACCTCAACTACATTCCCAAATGGGGGTGGGTGTGCCCACTGCATGGAGCTATGGGGCTGTCATCTCAGACTCACACTTCTCTCCCCCTTCCCCCTTCCTGACCATCCTCCTTGCTTACAAAGAAGGTACAAAGAGGCCAGGCGCGGTGGCTCACTGTTGGGGTGATCAGACCCAGCACCAGGTCGTGGGGGTGACAAAGTCCAGCAGAGTCAAAGGACTGAGAAAAAGACAGTTTGAGAGATAAAGGTGGGACACCAGAGGGCCATCGCGATTGTGGAGGCTGCGAAGACCGCCAGCTCTGGGAGCCCACGCTACTTATTGGTAATCCAACAGAGAAACAGGTGGTAAGAATGTGGAGGTCAAAAGGACACGTTGCATTAAGCACATGATTTACAGCTGTGATGGTTTAGCATTTATATGGAACATGTTCTGCTACTTGAGATAATGGGAATAGGAGCCTAGGAGGGCTAGAAGCAAGGAGCCAGAAAGTCTAGACATATTCCCGAAGACATTATGCAAGCCCTGCCTCAGTTTCCCTCCCAACACTCAGCTTTTTCCCAACAGCTCACACCTATAATTCCTGCACTTTGGGAGGCCGAGGTGGGTGGATCACCTGAGGTCAGGAGTTCAAGAGCAGCCTGGCCAACATGGCGAAACCCCATCTCTACTAAAAATACAAAAAGCTGGGCGTGGTGGTGCACACCTGTAATCCCAGCTACTCGGGAGGCTGAGGCAGGAGAATCACTTGAACCCAAGAGGCGGAAGTTGCAGTGAGCCGGGATTGTGCCACTGCACTCCAGCCTGGGTGACAGAGCAAGACTCCATCTCAAAAAACAAAAACAAAAACAAGTACAAAGAGCACAAACACTCGTAAAGTGAATGAGGCTCCAGGGGCCCCTCGAGCTTGGATGCACAGCCAACAGACAACTGTTTAGATTTAGCTTGGAATTCAGGAATATTTTCAAATGAGGACTGAGCCCAGGCTTTGCCCAGCCCCACCCTCCATGGCCTCAGGGTACTCTGAAGAAAGGGGAGAAACCTGAGACCACCCTAGACGGGCTACAGAACAGAAATGCCAATGAGTATTTAGAAACCGTGGCATGACCTTTTGGTGACTTTTAGCTACCAAAGGTCAACATCATTCTAGCGGTGCCCCACCTTCCCACAAATGCTCATCCACAGCTGACTTTGTGTAAGTTTATATTTCCAAAGCTGACCTCAGATGTGTGACATACTGCCAGCTGCCTACTACCCAGAGCTGGGAGGACTGTGGCTGGGGTACATGTTGTGAGAGGCACACAGGGCAATTCCCTCCCGCCTGACAGCAAGGCCAGCTCTGGCCCAGTCCACAGAGGAAGCAGACGAGAGACGCTTCCTGGCGGAGGGCTACCCCAGACACACCCCAGGCACACCCCAGGTGCCCTGCCCACATACAGGCAGGCATCCTAGAGTCTGGTTTAAAAAATGCAGCCCTCAGGCTGTTGGGACTCAAGGGCCTGATCAGGGCAACAGAAGAGGGAGAGCAGGTAGGGAGCCCAGAGAGGAGGTCCAAGAGAAGTAGGTAGAACTGGGGGAGTGGATTCCCCCACCCCACAACTGAGCCTGTCAGCTCTGGAAGGACTTAAGGGATCAGCTACCCAAGGGTTTCACTGTTTCACAGTGAAACTTACCAAACCGAGTTTCATGCAGAAACATCAGTAAGTAAGAGTATACAGAATACCTGTTCTGGTTGAAGCAGGGCCTGTTGGATTTGCTGCAATCCGCAGGCCTCTGGCAGCTCTTCTGGTTAGTCCTAGGAGATCCACAGTTTGGTTTCTCAAGATAATGATGATACCAATAAAACTAAAACCTGACATGTACTAGTAATTTCCAGCCTGCACTTTTACATATAATACCATACACAGTTCCACACTAACCCTGTGGCAATACTGCTATCATCATCATATTCCCAATGAACAGTCCGAGGCCTCAAGTTGTTAAACAACTTTCCCCAAATCACACAGCTAGTGCGTGGGCACAGGGATTTGAATATAGACTTTCTGACTCCGAAGCCAGTGCTCTACACTCTGTCACAGCTGGGAGAAAATGTACCCCATTGCAGCCAACACCAAACAGGAGGGCTTGATGGCAGGCAGTACCGCTTACTGGTTAGAGACCAGCTCTGGGGCCAGACTGCTGGGGTTCAAACCCTTCTGCCATTCACTTACCTGTGTCACCCCTTCCTCATCTAGAATATGGGACAATATGGGAGGCCAAGGCAGGCGGATTGTCTGAGCTCAGGAGTTCGAGACCAACCTGGGCAACATGGTGAAACCCTGTCTCTACTAAAAATATAAAAATTACCTGGGCATGGTGGCACACATCTGTAATCCCAGCTACCTGGGAGGCTGAGGCAGGAGAATCGCTTGAACCCAGGAGGTGGGGGCTGCAGTGAGCCAAGACTGCACCACTGCACTCCAGCCTGGACAACAGAGTGAGACTCTTGTCTCAAAAAAAAAGACAATAATAGTACCTGCTACAAAGGCTTGGAGTTAAGATTAAATGAATTAATCCACGTAAATTATTATCACACAATTCCTGGCACATAAATAAGCACTTAATCACCATGCATTTCCACCCTGCCCTCCTAGCCAGCTTTATTCAGTGCCGGTCACATGCAAAGTCTGCGCCCTATTGTATTATGGGAGTGGAGGAGAGTGGGTTACCAGACAGCTCCTGTCCCCAGGAAGTTTTCAGTCAAGGTAGGGATATGCGTATGCATATGCACAAAACTATAGCAGCAGCTCTCTGAGCAGTCAGGGCCCCAGATGCTCTGCTAAGAATCTGTTCTAGAACATGATGAAAATGCTAGCTTGGACACCTTACCCCAGAGGAAGGGGGACCCATTTGTTATAATAGTTTAGCCTTCCCTGATTAATACACTTCAGTATCATGATCTCTCAGTAGCAACTAGAATCTGATTTTCTAGCAAATTCCCAGGCTAGATTCTACAGCTCATGACAGTGTGAGGAGCACCAGTCAGATCATCGTGGCAGCTTCCAGGTCACCTTCTCTTATCTCTTGGAGCTTCGGGCTGGTGCTGGACCTGCTCTCTTCTATCTGCACTCATTCTCTGGGTGAGCACGTCCCAGCTCCTGGCCTTACCAGCTATGACTGACAATGCCCTGATTTCTATCTGCAATCTGGACCTCTCCCCTGAGCCCCAGACACACTCCACTGTTTAGTCTATGCCTCCACATTTAATAGGCATCACAAACTTAACACATCAAATCCCCACCCAACCTGCTCCTCCCATAGCCTTCCTCCATCTCAGTGAAATGGTACCACCAATCACAGCGTCACTTGGACCAAAAACTTTGGAGTGATCCTTGGCTCCTCTCTTACTCTCCATCTCACAACACCAAAGCCCATGGGATCTTCCTTCCCAACATATCCCCCCTCTCCTCCTCGCCACTGTCAGCATAATCACTCTGGCCTAAGCTGCCATCATCTCCCCAGTGGTTATTGCATCAGTCTCCTAGCTGGTCTCTTGCTCTGCCTTGCTCCTTTACAGCCCATTCACAACCCAGCAGCCAGAGTGATGCTTTTAAAAACAGAAGCTGTCTCTGCTGCTCCTCTGCTCCAATGGCCCCATTGCACTCGGGGTAGAAGCCAGTGTCCTTAGAGGTCAGGGCCCTTCGTTTCTCTGCCTCTCCATTCTCTGTGTCCTTACTTCCTAGTGCCTTCCCCCTTGTCTACTCACTCTGGCAACACTGCCTTGCGTCTTCTTGAACAGCAGAAGAGGCTTCTGCTTGCTTTTCCCCTGCCTGGAATACTCTTCACCCTGATATCTGAAGGGCTTGTTCCTTCACCTTAGGAACCTGCTCAAATGTTATCTCACAAGGGAGGCCTTTGCTGACCACCCTACATGGAAAATGCAACATCCCTGGCAGACCCACCTTCTACTGCATTTTTCTCCAATGCACTTATTACTGCCTAACATATTACTTGTTCATGTCTTTGCTCTCTGTCTTCCCCTATCAGAATAGAATATAAGCTCCAGCACAGCAAGGATTGTTTCTTTGGGTACTGAAGTCCCAACACATAAAACAGTGCACGTGGCCAGGTGCAGCGGCTCACGCCTTTAATCCCGGCACTTTGGAAGGCCGAGGCGAGCGGATCAGTTGAGGTCTGGCCAGGTGCAGCGGCTCACGCCTTTAATCCCGGCACTTTGGAAGGCCGAGGTGAGCGGATCAGTTGAGGTCTGGAGTTTGACACCAGCCTGGCCGACATGGTGAAACCCGTCTCTACCAAAAAGACAAAAATTAGCTGGGCATGGTGGCATACGCCTGTAATCTCAGCTACTCAGGAGGCTGAGGCATAAGAATCACTTGAACCAGGGAGGTGGAGGTTACAGTGAGCCAAGATCACACCACTGCACTCCAGCCTGGATGACAGAGCAAGACTCCGTCTCAAAACAGAACAAAAACAAACAGACAAACAAAACAGTGCACATGACAGGTGCTTAGTAAATACTTACAGAATGACTGTAACAGCTATTCTCCAGCAAGCAGAGCAGCCTCTCTCCTGCTAAGCACGCTTCTCACTGCCTAAACCTTTTCATTTCACCTGTTTGTAAGTCCTGAAATTCTACCAGTCCCAGCTGGAGAGTGCAAGGCTGGCTCATGATGGCTGACCTGGGGTAGGAGTTGGGGAGTCACTGTAAGGGGTGAGGGGACAGTGTAGCCAACTAGGACCGGAAGAGTAAAGCCTGAGCAGCGCTCCCTCTGACACACTAATGTGAGCTAGCCTCTGGGTGAGGTGCCAAGTGGGAAGCTTTAGCCCAAGGGTAGCAGGCACCTGAGAAAGGGGAAATGCTGAGAAAAATGTATATAGGTAGCCAGCCAATAATTCAATGCAATCAACATTTATGGGGCCCTCATTTAGGTGCCAGGCATTGTACAAGGTGCTAGAGATCTAAAATCCCATTTGCCAGAGTCCTTTTCCAGAGACTTCATCATGCCAACACAATAACATAGCACAAAGCCAGCTGTTCCTTCTCAGCTCACTCTGTTCAATGTTGATTTTAAACCTTTCTCTCCTCCACAAACCTTGACCACTCCCTCCAGTCTCACCAGGAAACTCTACTTCCTTACTGCACAGCAAAAAAAAACAGAGATCATCAGACCAGACCACCTCTACTTCCTGCCACCACACCTGCAAATCTCCCTGCATGGGGCCCCTGCTCTGCCCCTTCCCTGCCAGGGTGGCGGCAGAGGTGACCTCTGAATTAGGCCAATCTCCCCACCTGTCCTCCACCTCTCCTGGATTCCTGGTCTTTTTGCCACTCCTCATATGAACAGAGAACCTTTCCCCCTTACAGCCTTCACCCTAAGGCTGGGTCTCCCTTTCCTCAAGCTGTTGTCTCTTCCGGAAACATCTTTTCCTCTCTCCCCACCTCTTGCTGAGCTAAACACATACAAGCCCAGATGAAGCCTCACATATGCAGCCATGCCTCTGTGTGCCTCCTCCATCAAGTTAGGGTCCCCCCCACTTATGACATGCCCTTTAACCACCTGTACTTCTCCTTAACAGCACTTGCCGGGAATGTAAATAATTGTTTATGTAATTAATTATCTGTTCAATAATAGTCTTCCCCAGCACGAAGAAAGCAGTGCTGGAATTGTGTCTTATATTTTTCAAGGTGCAGACGCAGAGCAAGCACTCAAATATCTGAGTCAATTAACAGTTGCCACTTGGGGTGCCATAATGTTCTAGATACTGCAGGAGATGTACATAGGTTGTCCCACTTAATTCACACAGCAGCCCACGTTTGCAGACCCTCATTGTATTATTCATCTTCATATTTTACAGATCGGGAACCCAAAGCTGAGGGGATGACACAAGGTGTTTGAGGTACCACAGCTGGTAACTCTGGGTAGGGATTCAGGCTTGTCTGCTGTCAAAGCCACCATGTCACACTCACGTCTTACTCACCACAGCTCACTCACTGCCTTAGATAAAGGAGGTGCTCGATTATGGGGGATGGAAGGAATGACCAACTATATCATTTCCTTTGGTCTTTAGTCACCATTGAGACCTACAAGCAAGAATTACAATTCCTCTTTTCCCAATGAGGAAAATGGAGTTTGAGGGGTTCAAAGGGCCACACAGCAGTAGGAGGCCATGCTGGGCTGAAACCCAGGTCTTCTGGTTCTTTGTCTAGGGCAATTTTCTCTACAACATAACTATAGTTAGGCACTGGGAGGACAGGACAGATGAGATTATGAAGGAAAGCTATGCAGAAACAAGTTAACACAGCAAGCCTAATACTGCTATCTCTAGAAAGTTCTCCTCGCAAGGATGGCCCCTGGCTGGTGTCTGGAACATGGATTTCAGTAAGGCTCCCACCACCTGAACTGCTAAGAGCGGCTCACTGTGCTTAAACCATCTAGGTAAACAATGTGTTTTGTTTTGTTTGTTTGTTTTGTTTTGAGACGGGGTCTCACTCTGTCCCCCAGGCTGGAGTGCAGTGGTGCGATCTCGGCTCACTGCAACCTCCGCCTCCTGGGTTCA
This sequence comes from Homo sapiens, assembly GCF_000001405.40. Lineage (NCBI taxonomy): Eukaryota > Metazoa > Chordata > Mammalia > Primates > Hominidae > Homo > Homo sapiens. The sequence goes on along the minus strand of NC_000001.11, from coordinate 211,334,575 downwards.
AGTGATTCTCCTGCCTCAGCCTCCCAAGTAGCTGGGACTACAGGTGCGTGCCACCAAGCCCGGCTAATTTTTTGTATTTTTAGTAAAGACGGAGTTTCACCGTGTTAGCCAGGATGGTCTCAATCTCCTGACCTTGTGATCAGCCCGCCTCGGTCTCCCAAAGTGCTGGGATTACAGGCATGAGCCACCGCGCCCAGCCAATGTGTTTTATGTGGAACACCTGTTTTTCTTCTGGAGGCTGGAATTCTGACATGTGCTAGATGAAGGTATCTACATGACCAGCCCTTAGTAAAAACCTTGGGCACTGAGTCTCTAATGGGCTTCCCTGGTAGACAGTGCTTCACACCTGCTGTCACAATGCACTGCTGGAGAAATTCAGCACATCCTGTGTGATTCCCCCTCGGCAGTCCTTTGCAGAGTCTTTTCCAAGACTCTTGGAGGCTTGCACCTGGTCTCCCCTGGACTTTGCCCCATAAGCCTTTTCCCTTTGTTCATTTTGCTTTGTATTCTTTTGCTGAAATGAATCATAGCTGTGAGTATGACCATCTGCTGGATGCTGAATCCTGTAAGTTCTCCTAGCAAATCACTGAACCTGGGAATGGTCTTGGGGACCCCCAACAAAGAAGCCTAACAAGAGATGAATTTTGAATTTGTTTTGAAAAGAGTGGCAGGGGTATGGATTAATGGTTTTGAACAGGAGGCATTCTAGGCAGGAGAAATGATGTAAGAAAAGGTAGGCATAGGCAAGTCAGGTGTAGAAAGACCTACACCTTTCCTTAGGCCGGGTACGGTGGCTTATACCTGTAATCCTAGCACTTTGGGAGGCCAAGACGGGCAGATCACTTGAAGCCAGGAGTTGAGACCAGCCTGGCTAACGTGGTGAAACCCCATCTCTACTAAAAATACAAAAATTAGCCAGGCCTGCTGGTGGGTGCCTGTAATCTCAGCTACTCGGGGGGCTGAGGTGACAGACTCGCTTGAACCCAGGAGGCGGAGGTTGCAGTGACCCGAGATTGCACCACTGCACTCCAGCCTGAACGACAGAGCAAGGCCCTATCTCAAAAAACAAAACAAGACTGGGCACCGTGGCTCACGCCTGTAATCCCAGCACTTTGGGAGGCCTAGTGGGGAGTGGGGGGGGAGTGGATCGCCTGAGGTTGGGAGTTCAAGACCAGCCTGGCCAGCATGGTGAAATCCCGTTTCTACTAAAAATACAAAACATAGCCAGGCATGGTGGCAGGCGCCTGTAATCCTAGCTACTCCAGAAGCTGAGGCAGGAGAATCGCTTGAACCCGGGAGGCGGAGGTTGCAGTGAGCCGAGTTGGCGCCACTGCCCTCCAGCCTGGGCAACAGAGCAAGACTCCGTCTCAAAAATAAAACAAAACAAAACAAAACAAAAAAAAGAAGGGCCTAGAGCTATTTAACAAGGCTTGAACAGAATTAATGAGAAAATCTAGCACTTCTGTTACGAGGTAGAAGAGATGAGGGCTAGAGAGGTCCACTTGTTAGGAAGATCCAGTGTAAGTGAAGTGAAAGTGAACCACTTAGTCATACATAGGCCCTATGGGAACTGTTAGTATCAAAGAGGTGGGGAAAGAACTTAGCCTCTGGCTGTCCACAGCTAATACATGGCAATAAATATCTCTAAGGGAGGTCTGTGGGAATGATACAGATAATTTGAGGCAACATCCCAAAGTACTGACTTTTGAAATAAAACACCTTAACATAAGGAAATCAGTCTGCTCCCAAATAATCTACTTCCCATTCATTAAGGGTGACTAAAATGTTCTTCATCTTTTTAAAACATCTTTGCTCAAGTCCAATATTCCCCCTCCATTTCTCCTATCTACCCCCTCACTCCCTAGTGGGTTATTCCTGGAATAACTCCACCCAATGTTTTAATCACTTCTTTCATTCTGCATCTGCTGAGCATGTAAGCCTTTGCTTTATATTAAATTATTCTGCCTTTAACAGGGAGGCATGGTAAGTTTTCCTAGGTTGCATCATAGATATCAACCCAGCCTCTACCTCAGAAATCCTAAAATCATGAAGACAGAAGAGGGACCTTCATGGCTGCCGCTTAGCTTAGCCCCACCCACCTCCCTCCATCCTCCAGGGTCAAGGGTCTCCCTAACAGAAGCCTTAGAACACAGCCTGGCTGTTCTAAGCCATACGCCTTAGTACAGGAGAACAGAAAGGGCTCTGGGTGGTGGCTTTGCATCAGGTCAACCTTATCCTGCTGTGCCTTCACATTGGATCTGGCTAAAGTAACTGGTCTGCTCCTGGCTATCAAGCCAGAGCTTGTATTTTTGTTTTCCAAATCTGTTTTATTTTTTCCTGTGTTGGCTCTCTGCCAAGCACTATTCTTCCTCCAAAGCTGCCGCCTGCTCTGCCCACAAGTCCTGAAAACTAGACTCCTGCCCTTGAAACCTGGTCCATGGGGCCCCAGCCTCTGAGGCTGCCTGGCCCCTCTGCCTGCCAAGAACTCATCCCAGCTTATCCCACCATACCCTGTCCCAGCCCAGCTTCCCTACCCTGGCCCCTGAGGTCTACCTGGTCCAGAGATGGCAAAGTGGCAGCAATAGGCTAGTTTCAATGATGGTCTACTCGCCCAGGTGCAGTGGCTCACACCTGTAATCCCAGCACTTTGGGAGGCCAAGGCAGGCAGATCACCTGAGGTCAGGAGTTTGAGACCAGCCTGCCCAACATGGTGAAACCCCATCTCTACTAAAAATACAAAAAATTAGCCGGCCGTGGTGGCGGATGCCTGTAATCCCAGCTACTTGGGAGGCTGAGGCAGGAGAATTACTTGAACCCGCGAGGCAGAGGTTGCAGTGAGCTGAGACTGTGCCACTGCACTACAGCCTGGGCAACAAGAGTGAAACTCCATCTCAAAAAAAAAAAAAGATGGCCTGCTCTGACACACAGCAATTCTTCTGCTGGTTTTTAATTTAAATTTGAATGCCTTTAGGCTAGGCATGCAGTTTCCAGCTCCCCAGAAACCCCACAATGCTCTATGGCTATTAACCACATGGAAGGAGAAAACCAGTTTTACTGAATATCTGCCAGACTCCAGGCTCTGTGTATATATTGACTCATTTAATCTTTCCAGCAACCCCAAGTGGCACACATTACTATTTCTATTTACCAGTGGGAATACAGACACTATGGAAGTTGGGCAACTTGCTCAGATTATATAACTACAACCAGCAAATCATAAACCCAGATATGAACCCAGGCCCACCAGATTCTGAAGTCCACACTGTTTCTACTACACCATCATTGAAAGTAGAAGGTTTTGACTAGGCTATGTATTAAAGAGGCCCCTCTGCAGCAGCATGAAAAGGAAAATTGAATACAGATGGACCTGGGGCAGGAAAATGAGTCAATGCTTAATTAAGGTTGCCCAGGAAAGAGTCCCTGTGGCCCTGAACTGGGAATAGACAGATCAGGACTGGCTGAGGGGGACAGGATAAAGGTGACTGAGGAACAGCAGCGATTTCTGCAACAGAGAGAACAGAGAGAAAGAGGCGGCCTCGGACAAATGTCTAAGGTGCTTCTGAAACATCATGGTGAAGATTCTGAATATTGCAAATCATAGTGGCCAAGAAGATAACTGGGTGAGGGATGGAAATTTGATCAGCCTTTCCTTAAAAGTGTTGGTTTAAGTCTTGGGAATGGCCAAGGGCTCAAGGAGAGAAGCACAGAGAATTGAAATCCAACCTGAGGACCCAGCCTTGGCCCCATACCTGCACTTGCAGGACAGAGGAGGATAAGAAGCTGGAGGTCAAGGAAGGGAATGCTGGTGGGGACGGTGTAGCAACCTCCAAGGAGATAAGTAATAGCTGCAGCGTGGGCTGGTATGGGCTGGTGACTGAGGAGTACCAGGTCCTGGAAACCTACACAGGACAATCAGAGCAGCGCAGCAGGTGCACGGTGCCGAGTGAGGAGCGAGTGCAAGAGCTGTCCACTCTTTACAGAAGCTTGTCAGTGAAAGAAAGAGAAGAGGGACTGGGGAAACATGGAGTCTTCTTACTAACAGAAAACTCAGCTTGTGGGGGAGGGAAGAAGTCTGTGGGAGGGAGGCAGGGAGGGAACCTGCCTCAGAGGGAGGAGGAGAGAGCTGACTTGGGAGTGTACGTGGAAAAGGTACTCTCGCCTTGTTCTGGAGGAGAGCACTTTCTCCTTGAGAGAAAAAAAAAAAAAGCCATGGAAAAAAATTCAGGAATGTTCTGAATTGGTAAGGAGGGAAGTTGATGGAGCCTGTGGTGTCAAGAAATGAGACATGGGGCTCTGCTGAAAGTAAGTGAGATATCCTGGGAGGGCACTCACTGGGCTCTGTCACTTAATACTGGGTCTCTAAGACCTGCACATCACACGGATACTGCACAGTGTACAGACCATTTGCATGTATACTGCTTTTGCTACAGCACGATCCAAGCATGCACCACCACCTGCCTCCAGGTACAAATATGCAAAATGTGCTCACCACTGTCACTGTAAACAGACTGAGTTCCTCTGTCAGGACTAATGAGTACTTTCACTTTTATCTCCTGCCTGGTCCTCCAAGCCACTTTCTCACAAGATAGGACTTGCTGGAGGCCATATGGGTCAAGGCTGCTGAGTGATCCTTCAAATAAAGCTTTCCTCTGGGCAAGGCAACAAATTCATGCTGGCCCACTCCTGGGTGGTGGCAGCGGCAGCAGCAGCAGAGGCCTGCCAGCTCTGAGGACTCCCTCTGCCCTGCAGCGTGTTCTCCTCTGCCCCAACACACACAGATACTCACTTGCTACACCTCTGCTGGAGCTAGAACTCCTATCCAGAATCCCAGAAAAAGCCACAACCTGGGCAGAAAAAAGCTCTTCAGAGACTGAGTCAGACACTGACCCCTGATCAGTGACAAAGGTGTCAGGCAGCTTTTGATGACTGTCTCGCTGGTTCTCTCATCCTCCTCCTGCCCAGAATCCTGGCTTCCTTTAATTAAGATACTATGGGAAAAACACAGGAATTGGAGAAAGAAGACTTGGGATTAGGTCCTGCCCCATCCCTACATGCTGTGAGGTCTTTCAAATCACTTCTGAGCCTCAGCTTGCAACCAGGTAAAGTGGAAGGAATAGCATGTGCCTCTCCCTTCTCCTGAGGAGGTAGTGAGAAGTTAATCAGATGAGATGGGCTTCTCGTAAGCTGTACAGTGTTATTCTAATTTCTGGATTTAAGCAAGTCCTGCTGGGAGCTCAACCTCTCTCTGCCAAGCCTACCCAGCACTTGTTCCTGGCAGCTCAGACCCCAAGGGAGACGTACCCTGAATGAATTCAATTCGATTCAGCAAACATCTGTTTAGGCCTACTCTATGCCAGGTTCCAAGACACACATGAAAACAGACAAGGGTCTTGCCCGGAGTTTGCCTGGCTAGGCAGAGCTAACAGAGTGGATGTCTGTTCTTGTGGTGGTTAGGCCAGAGTCTCCAGCAGAACTTGCTCCATGTTGCTGGGGACAGACCACAGAGGCATTATCAGAATCTGGGTCCCCTTGCTGACCCCTCAGACGGAGGAAGAGGTGGGCAGATATGGCTCTCTGAGAAGCCAGGGTGAGGGGCCTGGAGCAGGGGAACAAGACACCTCAATGCTCTGATCCTGGTCCAGCAGTGGAGCTCAGGGAGCTATTTACCGCCTCAGTGCTTCACCCTCACAATCTGAGAGATGTAGAGAATAAGCCTGCTCTAACTCATGAGGGCGTCATGGAGGACGAAATGAGAACAAAACGACAAGAACAAAGAGAAAATGCTTTGCAAAGGAACGAGCTTTACAAACAAATAATTATTTTTCCTTCAAGGTCCTCCCCAGTAAAGCTGAGCTAATCAGAGGAGGTTTGTCTAAGTACTGAGGTGCCTTTCCCACTGCAAGCCTAACAAGACTGACTCTGAGGCATCTAGCTCCCCGACTGTGCAAATCATCCCCACTGAAACATCCCAGTCCCTATCGTCAGGACGTTCAGTGGACGGCAGCTCTTTTCCACACTCTTTCCATCGCCCTACTACCCAAGTCCAGCGGGCTTGCTGCTGACAGAGGGAAATACCACCATCCTACCCTGCCCGTCACAACAGGCCTCTCAGCCCAGAGGCCGTGGGAGAAGTCGCCTTCTCCATCACTTCCCATGTTCCAGATGCTGGCTCAGACACTTTCTCCTGCCTCTGTCCAGGAGCCAGGGATCTGAGAGGTGATCCATTCCATAGAGTTACAACAAAAACAGTAACTGTAACAAAATCAAAAACCTTTACAGAAGCTAGGCGTTTTCCACTTCCATCTTACATCCATCGTTCCTGCAGCAATTTCTGTCTTTCTAGTTCAAATTAGAGTTAGGGATGGAAGTGTTTCCACCCAAACCATCAATTACATTAACACCCCTGTTTTCAGCTTTGTGAGTACATAAGGCAGAGCAGCTGCACTGGGATTTGAGAGTTCCTAGCCCAGCCTTTTGCTGCCTAAAATTATCTCGCACACACCCAAAACTGTTCTATTTCCAGAAATGGTTCAACTAATTTCTTTGCATCTCAGGTCTTCCAGAGCCCTTTTAAAATGCAAGTATCTCTGGAGGAAATAACCATATTCCACTGGCCCCAGCCCAGTTCTCACACAGCACCTGCCCAATAAATATTTACAGAATTAAACTGGTTACCAGATGCCTATCCTCACAGGAGGTGGGTCAGAGCCCAAGGCTATGGAGGGTGGGGGCTGCAGGGGCAGCCCTGGCAGGGAGCCTCGCCTGGTTTCACCAACCTCAATGCTCGCCTGAGGCAGCTCTGCCTGCCACAGCGAGATAACTGAGTTCTCATGAAAGTAAATCTGAAATACCCAAATATGGAAACTTAGCAGAAGGAGGCCGAATGAGCAGAGAAAGTCGGCCAGCCAGAGTGGCCCAGTGGGACCCGCAGCAAGAGCGTGGCCCCGAAAATTCTCAGAACCACCAAGACCCTGCAGAACAGGAACAAAGTGGAGACCATCTGGTACGGAGAACTCAGAATCTGCGAATTCTCTGGGTGCCTCTGGGCAACTCCTTCCACCTCTCGGAGCTTTGGTTTGCGTCAAGGTTCCTTAGAGCTCGCCTTCTGGGGGAGGGGGGTAGCTGCTTTCTAAAGGAAGACGCGCAAACGAACAGCTGGTAGAGGCTTCCATTCCTTGCAATCCTGAAGTTTCATTCTGGAGTTGCTTTGATTGGAAAGCCCTGCAAAGGTGGAGAGGGTGCCTTCGGGTGCGGAAGGGGGCCAGGGCCTGGTTTGCAGTGCGGATGTGCGGGACGTGCCTGAAAGTCCTCCCCGCCAGTGCACCCCGACGGAACCTGGCCCCTCCGGTCCACAGCCGCCCTCTGGACCAGCTCCCCAGCTTTGGACCCCCAGTCTCCGCCCTCGCCACACCTCTCCCCGGCTAAGAAACCCGCTCCGCACCGCTCCCGCTGTCCCCGGGCCGTCGGCGGTCACCTGCCCCGCCGGTCTCCCGCAAGCCCGGGCCCCTCCGCCTCCCCCGGCCCAGCCGCCGCCTCGCGCCCTCCCCGCCGGTCGGGGACCGGCCGGACGCCAGCAGGCGCTTTCGGTTTCAAAGTAACTGGGACGAGATGAAAAGCGCTCGTCGGTGTCCCCACCCCGGCCCTTCCGTCGCGAGGGTGCCCAGGGCGGCGACCCGCCGGACTCACGTGGGGCTCGGCGCGCGGGCTCCGCGAGGCCGGTCTGCAGGCGCGGCTGCTGCTCCTGGCTGCGGCCGGCGGCGGCGGCGAAGCGGAGGCGAGGCCTGGGGCGGGGCCGGGGCGCGGGCGGAGGGGCGCGGGCGGGCGCAGGGGAAGAGCGGACGCGCAGGAAGGGGTCGGGAGGAGGCTGAGACCGTCATCCAGGCGGTTGGAAAGCTAACCTACCCGCTTCAGAACCGTTAGTATCTACAAGTCCAGTCATCTGATTTCCCTCACGTGCGTCTGAATTGTGGCCGTCTTGCTCTTCCGTCAGGCACAACAAGGCTCAGCCCGTCCTCTCCTGTGTTGACCCATTTGCTCAAGGCCTTGCTTGAGATCTGGCTCAAATCAGTCCTTCCTGGACTTTCCTTCAGGGTAGCACAAATTTGCCAGCCCTCCTCTTGCTGTTGGCCTAACACCAGCAATCTCTGAGAGTTGTAGAGCTCCCCGGTTGGCTTCCCAAACATCTCCTGTGGTCCTCAAAACAAGCTGGTGAAGTAGGCCTGGTCATCCCCATTTTACAGATGAGCTGTCTGAGGGCCAGAGCAGCAACGTGGAGTGACGTACCCAAGGTTAGACACGCTCAGCAAGCTCTGCAGCTGGAACTTGAATCCAGGTCTGCTGTCTGCCTGTCTCTCTCCCTCTCTCTCTCTCTATACGTATTTTTTATTTTATTTTATTTTTTGAGACGGAGTCTCGCTCTCACGCCAGGCTGGAGTGCGGTGACGCGATCTCGGCTCACTGCAACCCTGGCCTCCCAGGTTCAAGCAATTCTCCTGCCTCAGCCTCCCGAGTAGCTGGGATTACAAGCATGTGCCACCACGCCGGGCTAATTTTTGTACTTTTAGTAGAGACGGGGTTTCACCATGTTGGTCAGGCTGGTCTCATCTCTTGACCTTGTGATCCGCCTGCCTTGCCCTCCCAACAGGCGTGAGCCACCGCGCTTGGCCTGCGCACTCTTAGATACGGGCTCTTTCTTACAATATATTCTCTCCAAGGGCAATACATTCTATATAAATGAAATGGACCAAAATTCCAATTCTATCTAGATCCTTTACTTTCAGTTAGGCCACCGTGGGAAAAGTACTTAACTGCTCTGAGTTTCAGTTACCGTCCTCGTCAATAAAAGGGGAGAATAATACACACCTTGGGAGTCAAAAACTCAGATGTGCACAGGAGCTCGGCAGGAAACATACAGGAGGGAGGCAGAGGTTGTGGTCATGGAGAAAGGAGGGAGGCGCTGGTGCACTAAAGAGCAGGTGGAGGATCTAGTGGAGCAGCCACCACCCAGTGCCAGCCTATTGTTACCTGATCTCTTATTTCTCCAAAGAGCCAGAAATCCAGATCCAAACCTTTTTTGGTTGGTGAGTTAGATGAACCGCTCCGTGGGGGAGAGGCACTGGTGGGTGTTGCTTTGGGACTGTAGATCTGTCTCATAATCTTCTCATGAGAATTAAATGAGATGGCACTCCTGTACGCCTAACACAGAGTAGGTGCTTAGTGAACCCAAGTTCTCCTTCCTGTTCTGCCATACACTATACTTTCCCTCTCTTTTTGTGGGTGTGTATTTTTTGAGAGAGGTTCTCACTCTGTCACCCAGGCTGGAGTGCAGGGGCATGATCACAGCTCACTGCAGGCTGGATCTCCTGGGCTCAAGTAATTCTGCCGCTTCAGCCCCCAGAGTAGCTGGGACTACAGGCACACACCACTACGCCCACCTCCCCCAGCTCCTTTTTTTTTTTTTTTTTTTTTGAAGAGATGGAGACTTACTATGTTGCCCAGGCTGGTCTCAAACTCCTGGGTTTAAGCGATCCTCCCACCTCGACCTCCCAAAGTGCTGGGATTAAATGTGCAAGCCACTACGTCCCACCCGCTTTCTCTTACCATTGCCTGCTTCTTGCCTCTCTTCTCATTACTTCCAAGCATAATAAAGTTGATACTGTTTTTTAGAAGTTATATCTCCTTTCACTGGCTGGAACATCAGTGTCTAGTATGCATACATGCAGGTATGCTCAGAATCCCTGGTCCTGTCATTGACTGTAATTTGCTTCTCTCTCCTACTCCTCTCCCCACCAACTAAATAAAGCAGTCAATTGTTCCAAAAATTACATCCAAGCCTTAAATATGATGGAATAAAACCTGGGATAGAGAGGTGGATCTTTATTGTGGTGGGAAATGGGGGCCGCATAACTCGAGGGCTGCGTCTAAGTGGAAAGGGTAAAGGAATTTTAGACGGGTATTAGTCAGAAGTCAGTAACATAGTCCCAATTCCCTGTTGATCATAAAGCGGAATTTGAATCCTGTATGTACATAAATGCACATATAAAAAAACATTAAATACCTTCAAGTGATAACTAACGTTTATTAAGGTTTCTTTTTTTTTTTTTTAGATGGAATCTCGCTCTGTCACCCAGGATAGAGTGCAGTGGCGTGATCTTGGCTCACTGCAACCTCCACGTCCTGGGTTTAAACAATTCTCCCACCTCAGCCTCCCGAGTAGCTGGGACTATAGGCGTGCACCACCACACCTAGCTAATTTTTGTATTTTTAGTAGAGATGGAATTTCGCCATGTTGGCCAGGCTGGTCTCAGATTCCTGATCCCAAGTGATCCACCCACCTCGGCCTACCAAAGTGCTGGGATTATAGGCATGAGCCTCTGTGCCCGGCCTATTACGTTTTATATACCAGGTACTGTGCTCAGTGTTTTTTATATTAACTCATTTAATAATCAACTCCATTTTATAGATGGAAAATCTTATCTATTGAGCAATTTGCCCAGAATCACAAAATTCTTAGTTTGAGAGAGGCAGAATTTGAATTCTGGGAAGTCTGGTTCTGGTACTCCTAGCCACTATACCCTACCCCTCAAATAAATGACTGATGTGAATTCAAACAAAACAACTTAAAGACAAATTTTAGTACTTTTAGTGTTTTGAAAATATTCAGCATTAAGTTCAACATTATATCTAACATTGAAGAGAATCCAACCTTCAAACTAAATTCAGCTACAAAATAAGACCAGGGCTGAACTATACACTACAGTTTTATGCAGAAGAAAAGCACTAACCCTTTTATCTGTTGCTTCTAGACACCGTAAGATTGCCCCAGACGCCCGAAGACATGGATTTCAGCTGTTTAATTTGCTGTATAAATTAGGGTGAGAGACTGCAGCCCTGGCTGCCAATGTAAAGATGGTGCTGATGGAGAGGTGAGGACGCCGCCTACTGGAATAGTAGATGGATGCATTATCTTCCTCAGGCTGCTCCTCTGTGACGAGACTGATCAATGTAGTGAGTTAGCTTGCAGGGCAAAAGTTCATACTTCCCATCACCTAGAGATCAGTGAGATCAGATAAGGAGGGAAAATCCTCTCCTTGGGCCATAGATTGCGACTTTGACTCCATTGCAAGTTACAATGGAAAGTCTTTGTCTGTAAACAGAACCACACATGGAAAATGTGATATACTGTAGCAGCAAACCACTTCCAGGCAAAATGCAGATCTCAGGGTCTTGTGCACAGAGAATACTCAGCTTGCTCACTAAGTAGGTGTTGTATTGAGACAATATATGAATGACTGATCCCTCTGCTTCCATCAAATAACCTTTAGCTCAGCTCTGCCTGTCAGTGTGCTGACCACCACAAGAAGAGAGGCGGGGAGTACTGGGATGGGGCAGGGACCGATGTAAATTTTTTTAAGCCTCCCTTTGCAAAAGAACCTGTGTATGTGCATTCAGCAGCTGCACCTTTAACTTAGGAGCTTAAGAAAAAACCATGTTTCTTTTGTTCTACCTTGTTTTACTCTATTGTTATTTACTGTGTTATAGGGTCAGCACCAGTTGAAAAAAGCAGACCTGTACTGTTCCTATGGCCATATATTATGTATTTATTCCAGGGGATCCCCTGCTTGATACATAAACACACCCTTCTTTATTCCTGTTCATGGTTTAATTGTCTGATGGTCAGCCTTGGCTGGAGAAATGAGATTTTTATTGTTTTTACATTAGACCTCCTGTCTTCATTGTACACCTGGCTAAGTATGAATTCTGTCCTCTTTGACAGTTTCTTTAATAAGATTCACACATGCAATTCCTATCACTGCTAGGAAAACATTTTAACATATTAATTCTGCATAATCACCAGAAGCCATTACAATATAGATTTAAAAGTTATTGTTTAGCCTTAGGAATCATGAAGTAAGATAATAGGTTTGATTGGCACAGTTTGGTCTTGGATTTTTTAATAGGTTGGTAACAAGGAAGACCATTTATTTGGTATTTATTTTTGAGAATGGTGCTTACTCTATATGCTGAGATTTCAAGCAATGATCTTGGAACCCTGGTTAGTCACATCTTCCATTTCACAGAAAACAGGACAGAAGCATTAGAAAGAAAGGCATAAGCTCAGGAAGGGCCCATCCTAGGAAAAAACACAAAGTTCAAGGGTCTTTGACTCTAATCACACCTCAGTATTCCATGACCTTGCCACTTCTATCCTCTGAAATCCCATGCTACTTTCTGTTGGCACAAATGAGGGCCTCTCATTGTGATACAGGTTTTGTACAGCCCTTCCAGTTCCATACTTCTTCTTCCTTGTTTAAACAACTTTACTGATGTACTTTTAATAACATAAGATTCACCCAATTGATGAATTTTAGTAAATGTATACAGATGTGCAGCCATAACCACAATGAAATTTTAGAACAAATCCATCTCCCCGTGTCCATTTGCAGTCAATCCACACCCCCAGCCCTGGCCTCAGGCAAGAGATCTCCTTTGTCGCTATAACTTTGCATTTTTTGAAAATTAATATGAATAAGGCCAGGCGCTGTGGCTCACGCCTGTAATTCCAGCACTTTGGGAGGTTGAGGCAGGTGGATCACAAGGTCAGGAGTTCAAGACCAGCCTGGCCAACATGGTGAAACCCTGTCTCTACTAAAAATACAAAAAAGTAGCTGGGTGTGGTGGCAGGCACCCGTAATCTCAGCTACTCTGGTGGCTGAGGCAGGATTATCGCTTGAACGCAGGAGGTGGAGGTTGTGGTGAGCCGAGATGACACCATTGCACTCCAGCCTAGGCAATAAGAGCAAAACTCCATCTAAAAAAAAAAAAAAAGAAAATTAATATGAATAAATACGTAGCAGTTTGTGTCAAGTAGGAAAATACTTTTGTCATTGATCCATGTTGGTGCATAAGTCATTAGTGTTTTCTTTCTTATTGTTGACTACCTCATACCATGCATAAAAATTAACCAGATGGAGCATAAGATCTAAATATAAGAACAAAACTATAAATTTCTAGAAAAATACACCTGAAAATATATCACCAAAGCATGATCCATAATAGAAAAATTGTATTGATAGACCATTTTGTTTATTCCCCAGCTGATAGACATTTGGATTATTTCTAGTTTTTACAATTATAAATAATGCTGCTGTGAACATTTGAATAGAAGTTTTTGTGTGCACATACATTTTCATTTCTCTTTAGGTAGATGCCTAGGAGTAAAATTAATGGGTTGTATTGTAAGTGTACATTTAGTCTTTTAGATGTTGCCAAATAGGTTTCCAAAGTAGTTGTGTCATATTACATTTCTACCATCCATGTAAGAGGGTTCCGGTTTCTTCACATCCCTGACAACACTTGGTATTGTCAGTCTTTTTAATATTAGCTATTCTAGTGGGTGTTACAGGTAGCTCATTGTGGTTTTACTTTGCATTTCCTTTATGACTAATGATGTGATCATCTTTTTTTCCATTTGCATATCTTCTTCGGCAAATGTCTATCCAAATCTTCCACCACCCCGCTCTTTTTGTTCTATTATTGATTTGAAAGAGCGCTTATATTTGAATTGGAAGAGTTTGTTATATATTCTGGATACAAATCTTTGATCAGACATATGTTTGGCAAATATTTTCTCCTGACCGATGGCTAACCTTTTCATTTTCTTGTGTCTTTTGAAAAGGAACATTTTTAATTTTGATGAAATATAATTTATCAATTTTTTCTATTATGGATCATGCTTCAGTGATATATTTTCTCGTTTTTTTTTTCTAGAAAGTTATATTTTTGTTCTTTTTTGTTTGTTTGTTTTGGTTTTTTTTTTTTTTTTGGAGACAGAGTCTCACCCTGTCCCACCCATGCTGGAGTACAGTGGCGCGATCTTGGCTCACTGCAACCTCCACCTCCTGGGTTCAAGTAATTCTCCTGCGTCAGCCTCCCGAGTACCTGGGATTACAGGCGTGCCCCACACACCCGGCTAATTTTTGTATTTTTAGTAGAGACAGGGTTTCACCATATTGGCCAGGCTGGTCTCAAACTTCCAACCTGAGGTGATCCGCCCACCTCGGGCTTCCAAAGTGCTGGGATTACAGGTGTGAGCCGCCATGCTCGGCCATTTTTGTTCTTATATTTAGGTCTGTGTTCCATCTCATGTTTATTTTTATGCATGATGTGAGGGAAGGATCAAGGTTTATTGGAGGTTTTTTTTTTTGCATGCAGATATTCTATCACTTCTGCCATTGAATTACACTGACACTTTCATTGAAAATTAGTTGATCACATATGGATGAGTCTATTTCTGGACTCTATTTTGTTCCATTGATCTATATGTCCATCATTACACCAATATTACAATCTTGATTATTGCATCTTTATAACAAATATGGAAATCAGTTAGTGCCAATCACCCAATTTTGTTCTTCTTCAAAATTGTTTTGTCTATTTTAAGTTAGGAGTTGCTGCCTGTTTTTGTAAATAAAGTTTTATTGACACATAGCTATATCTGTCCATTTATGTATTTTCTCTGGCTGTTTTTGAACTAAAATGGTAGAGGCCAGGAGTTGCAACAGTTTGTGGACCACAAAGCCTAATATATTTACTATTTGGCTATTTATAGAAAAAGTTTACTGGCCCCTGTTCTAGGTCCTTTGCATTACCATATAAATTTCAAAATCAGTTTGCCAGTCTGTGCAAAATAAGCCTGCTAGGATTTTTATAAGAATTAGATTGAATCTATAAATCAGTTTGAGGAGAAATGCCATTTTAACAATATCAATCTTCCAATCCATGAACAGTTAGTTATTTAGGTCTTATTTCTCTCAGCAATATAGTTTTTCATGGACAAGTCTTGCACATTTTTGTTTATTCCTATTTTTTGATACTATCATGAATAAAATTTTCTTAATTCCATTCTCAGATCACTTGTTGCCATTATATGAAAATACAATTGATTGTACATTGATCTTGTATCCTCTGATTTTCTTAAGCTTGCTTACTATTCTAGTTTTTGCAGGTTTCTTGGGATTTTTTACATACAATTTCATGTCATCTGCACATAAAAACAATTTTAGTTTTTCCTTTCCAATCTCTATACTTTTTTCTTGCCTATTGCACTGGCTATAACCTTCAGTAAACCACTGAATAGAGTTGTGAGTGCAGACATCCTTGCCTTGATTTCCATCCTGAGGGGAAGCATTCCTAGTTTTCTAAGTTTTAATCATGAATAGGTGTTGGATTTTGTCAAATATCTTTTCTGTGTCTATCAACATAATCATATGGCTTTTTTCCTTTATTTTATTAATATGATATATTGCAATGATTCTCAACTGGAGGTGATTTTGCTCCTTATGGGACATTTGACCATGTCTGGAGACATTTTTGATTCTCAAACTGGGGAAGGGGGTTCTACTGGTATCTGGTGGGTAGAGGCTGAGGATGCTGTTCAACATTCTAAATGCACAAAAAAGAATTATCTAACCTAAAATGTCAGTAGTGCTGATATTGAGCAATATTTCATGTGCACATGGAAACAATGTTTATTCTGCTGTTGGGTAGAATGATCCCACATTTCAACTAGGTAAAGGTGTGTTATTCAAGTCATAGGCTGCAATCAAGCTGTTAGCTGGGTTCTGGTCATCTCAAGACCCAACTGGGGAAGGATCCATTTTCAAGTGCACATGGATGTTGGCAGGATTCAGTTCCTGGCAGGTTGTTGAACTGAAGGCCTGAGTTCTTTGCTGGCTGTTAGCAAAAGGCTGGCTTCAGCTCTTTGTCACATTAGAGGTTCCTTAATTCTGCTGGCTTTTGTCATAAATGTATCCCCATCTGCTGGTAGCTCCTCCTCTGGCTTCCTAGCACTGCTAAGGGTTATTTTGGTTTTTCTATTTCTTGTCATTTCAGTAAGACTGGCAGGGGGAGATTATGGGTAAGAAAAGTAAAAGACTATGTCCAGTCTGTCATCTTGAACTGAAATTAATCTCTCATTTTTGCACTGCACTTTAATTTTTTTAAAAAAATGAGCTGAGATTGCGCCATTGCACTCCAGCCTGGGTGACAGAACGAGACTCTGTCCAAAAAAAAAAAAAAAAGTCACAATACATTTCCCTTATTAAGAAGGGTATGGTATAAGTAGACATGTAAAAACCTCTAACATACATTGGGCAGGTACTATATGCCCCAGTTTATATATTCCTCCCCAAATGAGGAAAATGAGGCTCACAGAGATTAAGTAACTTGCTTAGTGGAGTTGGAAAACTCATTGTGTTAAAGGTTGGTGGGCAATTATTTTGCAAATATAGGCCACAAGCCCTCAATGATTCTGATTATTTTCAAACTCTTTTGGAAAAGATGAAGAGGCAGGATATCAACAAAATGGTCTTTGGATTAAAGGCCTCTTCAAGCCAAATCCTGTCAAATAAGAAAGCTGTTCCAGGTAGTAAACTAGACAGATCCCTCAAGAGATACCTTGTGTTGTGGTATTATTCAGCATCTTCTTAGTTATTGGTAACTGTACCTTACAAATAAGATTAAATTGTACAGAATAAAAATTTCACCTTTCTTAAAATAGTCCAAGGGAAGGAAACATATGAAGCATTCTGTGACATCAACTTTGACCTCATTTACATTGTGAAGACTGTTCTTAGATCTCTCCACTTCACATCACCAGCATTTTTTCCTTAGAGACCCTGCTCACCCAGATTCCTGCTTTAGGATTCTAAAGTTTAGATTACTGCATTGTAAAGACTGTTCCGTTTATTAATAAACAATTGTCTACTTTAAACCAAGTAATGACAATTGGCAAACATCTCAACCCAATATTAACTTCTGATCTTCACTGTTTCTCCCTTAGCTATATAGACTTAGGAGAGCAAAAAAGGGCAGATAAAGCCACATGGCCCTTTAGACACAAACTCACACATCTAGGAGCATTCCTTGTCATGTTTAATTCTCAAACTCCATTGTCACTAATATACTGCTGCAGAACATTCCTTCCCTAAGGCAGTTATGATAAAGAAGTTGTGGGGAGTTACACATGACCTACTCTTTCCTAGGTGAAAACAGTTCAGGTACTACCATAAATCAGATGTCAAAAGTTTCTTGTAGGCATTTTCTAATATGGAATGGTTTCTCAAACTTGATTCTTGGGTTCTTTCCGTATTCATTTATTCTGTTATTTTCTTATAAACGATGTAATCTATAATGAATGGCTAAATTTAAAAACACTTTTTTTCTTGTGTGTCCTCTAATAAGAATGTATTTGTCATTTATTTTGGGCATGCACAAAGAGAAAGATAGATTCTTCTTAGAGTTCGAAGTCAGATTACTATTCTTTTTGAGGAGATCCTGACACCCCAGTGTTAACTAGTTAGCAGTTATTAATGTTCATAAATAACCTTTTGATAACAGGAGGGAACATAAAATTAATACAACATACTTAATAACTAAACTAGGTACTTTAACCCAAGTACAGTCATGCACCACACAATATTTCGGTCAGTGACTGCAAATACACTGATGTTCTTTAAAATTATAACATCAGCAGGAAGCAGTGGCTCATACCTGTAATCCCAGCACTTTGGGAGGCCAAGACAGGTGGATCACCTGAGACCAGGACTTCAAGATCAGCCCGACCAACACGGTGGAACCCCATCTCTACTAAAAAATACAAAACTTAGCCAGGTGTGGTGGCGGGCGCCTGTAATCCCAGACACTCAGGAGGCTGAGACAGGAGAACTGCTTGAGCCTGGGAGGCAAAGGTTGCTGAGCCAAGATCCCGCCACTGCACTCCAGCCTGTGCGACAGAGTGAGAACCTGTCTCAAAAAATAAATATATAAAATATTGTATTTTTACTATACCTTTTCTATGTTTAGATACACAGATATTACCACTGTGTTATAACTGCCTATGATATTCAGTACAGTATATTACTGTACAGCATAGGACTGTTGCCTAGGAGCAAAGGCTATACCATATAGCCTAGGTGTGTAGTAGACTTTGCCACCAATGTTGGTACAAGTACAATCTGATTCACAGCACAAAAGAATCACCTAACAGCACCTTTCTCAGACCATATCCCCGTTGTTAAGGGCATGACTGTACTTGCAATTTTTAATATTCTTAAAAATGATAGTCACGTTCTTGGCTTGCTCTCTACATCTATTCCTAAAAAGAATGTAGGCCTACATTAAGACAAAATTTTATATTATTTCACCTTTATTTTATATTCTATTTTACTCAATTGCAAGCTTATTAAGAACATAAAAAGTTTGATCATAACTTACTCTTACCTCATCCATATTACACTAGAATTAAATCATATAGAAAAACATTGTTTCCATTAGTTTTATAAGATGTATCCACAGTGTGGTTTATTTTTAGTTATGTAATTTTAAAAAACCACTTTGGTGTAGATTTCTCAAAAATGATAACCCTGAAATTAATGAAAATTGTCATTAAAAGATTTCTAGTTTTGCTTTTATAAAAATCATTATTTCGAATTTCACAGTGAAGAGGTACTAAATTCCTCATAGAACATGAAATTATATAAAAATAGAAGACATAGACATCTTTAAATCTTTAATCCTTTGATTAAGCAGCAAGCATATCACTCTTCCAGGCCAAACACTGCTTAAACAAAAAAGAAAAATAATGACGTGCAAAATATTTACAAAATATGCAAAGCACACAATAAAGACATCTCACTATATACATGTGTCATATTACTAATGAAGCTAAAGTTTTTCTACTGTGTGCTCTAATGCATGTAAATCAAATTACAGCACATCCCTCAGATACAGCACCTTGGCCCATGTCTGGGATAGAAGAGATTTTTTAATGAATCACAATATACTGAACAGCTGGACAGATGCTGGTGCTGACCAACTTGACTGACATATCCCACATACTGTGTACTGAAGGTCTACTGACAAGAGACAAGACAATAAACGCTGTAAAGGTATAGTATGCACATACGTAAGACAATCTAAGTGCTTTAAAAAATGTTTTAGATATTTTAAGATATTTAACTGTCCCCTGTGGCTTTTAAGGAAAAAATAAGTATAAATTCTTGAATATTAAGAATTTTAAATCAGCTAAATTCAGGGCCAAGAACTATTTAAGATGATTCAATGAGAAAGAAAAGGACCTAACCTGGAAAAAGAGTTTCAAATATGCCAGTACGTAGGGTATTTATGGAAATACACAGTCTAAAATTAAAAATTAAAACTAATCAATGAATTTAAATCTATAGCACTTTAAGGCTGTGGAGCCAACAATAGGGAATACTTTGGGAACACATGATCTTTCAAAACATAAATTAGGGCCTTAGATGTTGACTATTTTGTGAAGTATTCTACACGTGATAAGAATGTGAATGTGCAAACATGTAGCCTATGTCCACTAGTATAGCAATCTAAGTGATCTGTCTGTCCCTTTGCACAAATAATGATTCCAATATGAAATCACTGTATCAAAAATATTAATTACACATTGTTGAAATACTATCACTTGTAAAATATTCTTTGTTAAGTACTTAATGATTATGGGTTGAATTAAGAAGACTTGATGTCTTTTTGTTTTTCTATAAAAAGGGGTCTCAGCATTTTTAGTTAACAGCACAACTGTGACAATATACTGATACATCTTTAGATAACACAGAACAAATTCTTATTTTATGAAATAATGTTGATGATTTAACCCTACACCAATCCCACGAATACAGGTTGGCTGCAAGGAATACACAAATGTATCCAAATAGTACAATAGATTTATCAATAAAACACCTTTCATATTAAATGCAGACCATATTATTAAGTATGAGGGCAATTTTAAGTTCAGAAACCAAACATGTAAAGGGTACTGTAAAGAAATGCTTCCATAACCACTGTGTCTACTTAACTAACAAAATATAATTCTTCTCTGAAGTCCCCAGATGTAGGCAACTACTAGTTAAAAGCAGATAGCATTTAGAAACAAAAAAAACCAACTCCATTTTCAAGGAACTTAAAGAGATTATATTTCAACAAATTAAGTCCTCATTTGTATGCAAAATTATTCTTCCAATCCTCTCATTACTGACAGATGATGAGTCAATGACCTTTAAACAAGGACTCTGCGCTAGGACCCTAAACTGTATGTTAAAGGGTTAGTAGGTTCAGTACATTCTTTGTGGTTTTATATAATTGCTTTGCAATTGATTAAATTGCTTTCTTTTAAAGGAATATATTAAAATTCCTTTAAAAAAAAAAGCAACATTTTTTGAAAGAAGGGATATGCAGCTATAATTTCTTAAATATGCATAAAATGAACATATGTCAAAATCGGAAATGCTGGCTATTCTTGCACTCCTAACATAGGAAAATGGTTTTTAAAAAATTAAAGAAAAAAGCCAAACATCCTTAACTTAAGAAACTTAAGGAGTTTTCACAATTCCTAAGTCAATATTCCTGTACTAAGAGCCTTGACTATGAAGAGGCAGGAATATAAAGAACCTCAATAAAATAAATACAGTAAAAACAAAACAAAAACTTGGTATATAGAATACTTAAATCTTTTGTTTTTCCTTTTATGAGATCAACATTGCTGAACATATACTCTAGAAAGGAGGCTAACTGGAGGCTTTTTGTTGTAAAACATTTTAGTCTAGTGAACTGAAAAATTTCTTAGACATCCACTTATGCTAGTCCACTGCCACAGAACTAGTTCGCAGCCTCAGTATCTAGAAATGATTATTCTTTCCTCTTTTTCATCAGTCAGATGAGCACTGGTATAATGATGGGGTGAAAAGTTACTGCAGCTGTGTCCAATTTAATTTTTAGTGCAGTGAGGACTGTGAATCTGTCTGAATTCCAATAAGTGATGGTGGCTGTTGACCACCAACCGTGGACAACACCGGTCTTGGGTTTAGACGGGGTGGCATGGAATTAGCAGGGCGAATAAGAGGTGGTGGAGGCTGATTTAAAGTTGGCCGGGGCTGGATGAACCGAGCCTGCTGCTGGAGTGGAGGAGGCTGCCGGTGAAGAGCCGGGGCAGCAGGCAGTGTTGGACGAAGAAGTGGTGGAGGCTGGTTCAGAGTGGCAATAGGGGCTGTTGGTGTTGGAGTGGATGATGGGGCAGGAGGTGATGGACCCAGTGTCCGAGGAGCCTGTGGGGTCTGTGCCTAGAGGTGAGGAAACAAAAATACACGTATGAGATGTAAGTCCTAATGAACTTAATACAATATAGTTTGGGCTGTCACAGGAAAAACAAAACAAATCAAAACAAAACAAAAACATAACACCAGTGTTTATTGGAAGCACAAGCTTCTTTTATTTTAAACAAAACAAAACCAAAAACCAAAAACCAATGAGGCTACCAAACAGGCATCTTTATTTGTAAACAGCTTAACACTGAAAATAAAAATAAGACTATGAAAGAACAATACACTCTCCATTCTTCTAGAATCAGAACTTAGCATGTCATTATGACTTAAGAGTCACGAGAGATGCACCACTGAAGAAGTGTATTGTCAACCTTTCATGCTCAATTTAGCTAGTCCTCTTGACAAATTAACCTTACAGAATACCACACAAAATGGTGATTCCTCAACTCATATTAGCTCAAATTCCATACACAAACACACCTCCTCTTCTTCATCAGTGCTCTTCCCTGATGGCACATTAGAAGCACTTTTTGTCTCCTCCCCTAAAGTAGAAGCATCACCATTAGAAGCCTGGGTTCCTTGTTCTGCTTCCCACTCCTGCAATACCTCCTCTAAGTTAAACCGACGCCTGTAGTTTACAAAGAAGTTCTTCACTTGGCCAACAGTCTTGTTGCCAATTACATCTGCAATAGCTTGAAAATCTTTACCATATTTGCGGACACCTGGAAGGCAAAGTAAATAATACACCTGTGAAGGATCAATAAGGAGAGCTGTGTGTACTATACATCATGCACACACAAAAGATACCAGCAATGAAATTCCTTTCTGATAAACTCTGCTCATTTCTCAATTCTGAGATAGAGGCTAAGATATCAGGGTCACAGATGAAAACTATCAGTTATGTCATTTCATCGAGCCAGCCACTTGCCTTCAACTGAACAATCAGAAACTTACCATTTTTTACATACTCAGTTATTTTCTCCAATCCTCTCTTGAACTCTCAAATACAGTCCATTTATTGTAAAGCATTGAATTCTTTGTTCCATCCTCAATTCCACATTCATTTATTTCCCTAGTAGCCAGTCACCTAAATTTGAGCAACATCGTTTGTAAACAAAACTGGATGGGAATGAGCCATCTCTCTTATCCCCTCAATGGACTGAGTGAGTAGCCTTAGGGTTCCCCCATTAAGAAAAGCATTATAATTTTGGTCTTAATACTAACTTCAACATGAATACTTGCCTATAGCACCAGGGTACCAACAAATTGAAATTAGATAAGAACTTAAACATGAAAAGCAGGAGAATCATCACAAGTTGGTGGATTTTGAAAAAAGAGAAGATTTTTTTTCAGAGTCAGTTGGATTTTAACTCATCTAGTAGTTTTAAAGACTGAATGGATGAAAGATGATAGCTTAAAGAATAAGGTAACAGTAATGACTACCTGAAGAGCACTTGTGCTCATCATCACTACCTTAAACTTAAGAAGAGATATTTATTGTTAATTGAGAACCTAACTTTACACTAAGGAAGTTTCATTATAATAAAGGGTAATAATTGATTTAAGAAGTTGAGACTGTTAACTATACTATAGAATTTTAAATAGATAATAATTTCCTCTTAAGGGAATTCTAAAAGAAGTTCACAGACTCATTCTAGAAGGAGATGCACTTAGCTCAAAATAGAAAAGTTGCTGAAAATTTTTATAATTTGATAACTGCTTTTAAAAATACCAGAAAACAGTAACTCACTAATGAAAGAGATGAGAAAGGAGACAAAAATATGGGGGCTTAAATTAATAACATGTATATGATCACAGATGAGAGAATAATATATGGATATGTTAATACCCAGCAGAAATGCTATTCTTACCAATACCAATTAATATGAAATACTCAATTACCCTAAAGCACTATCATGATGTAACAATCCCACTTTTAAATTCTGCTTTATTTTAAATTGAGAATTTGGAAATAAGCATTTCTGACTACATTAAACTAGCTGGGCTTGACTCTAAGGGGAATTCCTTTAAGAGCATTCTGGACAGGAGGTCTGACATTATTATCCTCTAATTATATCCCATTTTTAAGGTAGAGTTTTGGGTTTGTAAGCTATGCTCATTTGCTGTGTTCTCAAAGGAAAATACATGTACATGACAATAAAGTAACAATGATAGACATCGTTTATAATGTTTTATCAGCATAAATGAATTTATACTCCCTTTAAACCCATGAGGTTGATTTCCAGTTTGAACTTCACAGTTAAGTATAAATTCTAATAGTGACTAGATTCCACTGAGAGTTTATTTGGTAATAAAAATCCAAGGTTATTTCACAGGAGTTACTGTTATATATTCAAGTACTTCTCTACTACTTTTACATTTTAGAAAATAGCAACTCTTATAAGGGTGAGTCTCTGTGCCATTTCTAAATTCTAAATTTGAGTTTGCTGCAGTGAAGAATAACTACTAATTAGAAACCAAATATAGTGTTCTATCAGTTACTAATTTTCATAAGGGACGCTTAATTTACATTCTAGCAATGGCCAAACCTACTGAATACACGAGTTTAGAAGTGAAAACCTTAAATAAGTCTAGGATTAGACTGTATTCCTAGGAAGAAGTCACATTAAAACTAACTCTGACTCCAAGTCTAAAGATATTATAAACCTCAGAACACTTATTTTGCAAAATATATTCCAAAACTCTAAGTTGTCCCCAAGTCTGATTCCATTAAATAAGTGCCCCTTCTTCTGACTATACTCCTTTTGATCTTCCACTTCTTAATTTTCCCTTGTTCAATGGACTTTACCTTGTCATCAATATTGTTACATTTGTAAAATTATACACCTTAAACTCAAAACTACTTCCTGTAAGAGCTTTAGTGTTTCTAGAGATGTTCAATGTCAACAACTTTTTCTAACTCACCCAGGTATGCTTATAATTAACTATAATATGCTTATAATTAACTCATGTATGCCAGTCTAAACTCTTAAAGCTCAGACCACACTGTAGACTTCTGTAGTTTGGCTGAGGATTCCAACCTCAGATATTCCAACCTAGATATTCCAACAAATATCTAGGCACATTTGTTCTCATCCTGTTCTCATCCACATTTGTTCTAATCCCCTCATCCTGAAGGATGGCTGGACAGGGTCTGGAATAGCTAGAGCTCCTTGGCAGTCTCATTTGGACAAGAGCAGCTTCATCTGCTTGCCCTAGTGTGTTGTGACAAATTTCATAATTTTCTCTGTGTACCATGATGTGAAAAAGGTTGGAAAGTACTGTCCTAGAAAATACAAAGCAGCACTAGCATTACTACAATGCTGAGTACACAGGAAGTGCTTAGGAAATAAGGAAATATGATTTTTCTTCCCTATAAAGCCTCATTCTATTGTTCTTCCCTAAACCACAGGAGGTATTAGATATATATGGCTGAATTCTTCATCACCTTCACACTCAGAACAGCATGGCTCAAGAGCACTTTGGTTAGAAGATGGAACTCTTAAGCTCTATACTGTTGCTAGCATCTAAGCAAACTCTAGTGAAACCCCAACTGACTCAATGAGACTGCTCCTTTAAAAGAATCTCCAGTGAGGCGTCTGAAACAACTAGCAGGTGGTAGTGATAAGCAGCAACTAACTTTAACAACTTACGGCATCAGAGCTACCCGAGTTTCAGTCTGTCCCTGGGGGAAGGGCACTCCATTATTTTTTCATAGTTGATAAAATCTGATTACTTTCTCAGGAAGGGAGTTAAATATGATTAAGTCAATCTCTCTTCCTGAAGATGTAAAAGGTATGCTTGAACCATAGTTGTTAAAGTCTCACTTCTAGGAAAAGAGGTCGTTTTCAAAGGTTGGTGGAATAAACAGGCAAATAGTAAGTTTCCCAGGAAGAAAAAAATTGTTTTCAGTCAAATTTCTAAATTTCATTTGAAAGTTACAATGAAACAACTTGGCTTTCTATGCTGGCAGATGATATCTTATAATCTTTAATATGTAAAGTTTTATTTGGGAATTAACATAAAAATATAAGTCATTAGGATATTCTGTTATCATTACATTTTATGAAAGCCCACATATTCCAACCAGGAATCTATATTACCCAACACAAAAACATCTTTTTTAAACATTTCTTGTTAACACTTTTAACTTGCTAAAGATATTTTTATTAGCAGTAGAGACTTTAGCATAGCCATTATCTGAATTATCAGACATTCTGAATTAGTGGAGTCTGTCCATACAATTTTTTTGTTTTAATCTTTGGCTAGTAAGATTGTGGTAACTTCAGGAGAATTTATGTGGTATTTCCCAACTGTGAAAATGGAATCTGAATCTTTTTTTTTTTTTTTTTTTTATGTTTAGCTAGAAAGGATAGCATGGATAGCTACCTTTGGTATGTTTAAAACAATTTTTTAAAATTTGATTTTGGGGCCAGGCATGGTGGCTCATGCCTGTAATCCCAACACTTTAGAAGGCCAAGGCAGACAGACCACTTGAAGTCAGGAGTTCGAGACCAGCCTGGCCAAAATGGTAAAACCCAGTTTCTACTAAAAATACAAAAATTAGCTGGGTGTGGTGGTGAATGCCTGTAGTCCCAGCTATTCAGGAGGATGAGGCACAAGAATCACTTAAACCCAGGAGGTGGAGGTTGCAGTGAGCCGAGATACTGACACTGTGCTCCAGCCTTGGTGACAAAGTGAGACTCTGTCTCAAAAAAAAAAAAATTGATTTTGGACTACACAAAAAAAAAAAAAAACAAAAAAAAAACAAAAAAAAAAACACATCCAAAAGACGAAACATGGTAAGCTGCTTATGGGTAGTGAAATTTCAGAGGATTTTTTTTCTGGCTTTCACAGCAAAATTTCTTAAAGTGAACATGTACTTAGTTTAACTGGGAAACATTAATTTTTCAAAAATATATTTTTGAAATAATAGGAATACAATAACATCTAGAAACTCCAGGGATATGATTCTTTTCTATCATTAAGACATATGTTTTAAACTCAAGCCATTTGGGAGCGTGTATTTCTTTCCACTTCCTGTAAATCTCTTCAAGAATTCCATATTAAGAGGTAGAAAAGGTAGCAATAGCAGCAGAACAGTGACTGATGTATACATGGAAGGGGCTAAAAGTCAAAATCACATTATAAGTTACATTCCATTACAAAAATGCTGGAAATTTTGAATCATTAATTATTTAATGTAAGTGTATCAGAGGGCTGACAATTATACTTTTGAACCTCCGTTCTTATGGTGTCTGTTATAATAGAAAAATAATCCCTAAAGCAAAAGGGTGCTTTTCAGATGAAAAGATATGCATCTCCTTGTTCCACTTCCTTTTGATCATTCATGTACTATGTTACCATCCTTTTATTTTTAATCAACTGCCAAATCTACTTTTTCTCCTTTACAAACCCTTCTATCTTTTTGTTAGTACAAGAGAGAAGACAATTTCTAGACTTGCAACTTCATTTATCTTAAAAAGGTGAATGAACTACAAGAAAAGGTAACTTTTACTATAAGCATAAGCCACCTGAACATAGTTCTGTCATTTTCTGTTTTATATTAAAAGGTAGTAATTATAAAAAATAACTAAATATAAAAAATAATTATATAAAAAATAACTAAAGTTGACATCTTTATACAATCGGAAAAAATTTTGTTTATCCTAAAGTAGCATAAATTTTAGTTGGGAAGCATTTTTTTTTAAGCAGTAATGACTAGGAAATGAATATATTTAAGAGGTGGCTTATAATTAAAATGCAAATACTGTATACCATGCTTCTAGCCTCTACACACTTTAAAAAGGTGTTTTGTACTATAATTTAAATGTCTTGTTTTTTGAAAACAGCTAACCATCATTCCATTTTACAAGGAAAAAAGATACACCTAGAATAATCTAATTCCTTTTTAAATTCTTTTAAATTCCTTTTTAAATTCTTTTAAATTCTTTTTTTTTTGAGTCAGAGTCTCGCTCTGCTGCCCAGGCTGGAGTGCCATCTTGGCTCACTGCAACCTCCACCTCCCAGGTTCAAGCAATTCTCCTGCCTCAGCCTCCCAAGCAGCTGGGACTACACGTGTGCACCACCATACCTGGCTAATTTTTTGTATTTTCAGTGAAGATGGGGTTTCACCATGTTGCCAGGCTGGTCTTGAACTCCTGGCCTCAAGTGATCCACCTACCTCAGCCTCCCAAAGTGCTAGGATTACAGGCGTGAGCCACCACACCCAGCCCCTTTAAAAATTCTTAATTTCTGAATTCTGTTTATCATATGAATATCAAGTTGGATTTTAGGATAACTTCTAAAAGCATTATAGGTTAGAAAAAATATGTATATATGTATAAGCTACAAACAGGAATATTTTATCATTAACACAAATATGGAAAGATCATTATTGGTCATAATAAAATTTGGTCATAATAAAAATTTAGATACTTAGGGTTGGAACACATGATAAAAACTGTAGAAATACCTTTCCTGGCAAATATTTTAAGAGGATTAAATTAGCAGTATTAATGATACCCTACCTGGAGAGTCTTGAAGAATTCTATTAAAATTACAACATAGGTAGAACTAGAATTAACATAATAAAGTGACTGATTACAAAAGTGTAAACAGACATTCCTATTTGATCTGAGCATGGTTCCCCTCTCTTCTGATTAAGAGAGAAAGAAGGGAAACTTATTTAAATGGTTAACATTTAGTTAACAACAATATGAGTAGATGGAACAGGAAAATAAGGTGGGAAATACATATTTAAGCCCTACGAAAGGAAATGATCTCAATATGTTTGGTTTCAAAAGAGTTGTAATAAAAAAGCTTATTTAATAGTAAAGTTGTAAATCTCACTAGTTGCCCAGAGTCAATATTTTTTTCTGCAGGTCACTGTAATAGTCTTCTACTATGAGCCAGATAAAATAAAGCATTTAACAAATAAGTGTCAAATCAGAAATATATGTGTAAAATGTCTTGAATATAAAGTGCTATACAAATTAAAACATGTTAATATCAAAACAGTTTATTATTACTTTGTAAAACTAAAGTATGAAGGTTTACCATACTTTTTTTTTTAAAAAAAGAAAAAACAAAAACAATTGCCTGCTAAGGTAAGTACTTGTAGATAGTAAACTGTGTATTAAAAGACCCTGCAATTACGCCCCTTAACTGCACTGAAACTCAGGTACAGGGGACGTTACTACATGATTATACTATTTATAAGACACACTTCTGACCACTATATAAATGCATGGGCACATAAGACAATATGACACTTTAAAATTCTCTTTAAAATAGCTATTTTATATAGGGCACAAATAGCCTTATATAGTTTTATTTTATGTAACAACAACAAAAACCCAAAAATGAAAACAAAAAAATCCAAAGAATAAATAAAACAGACATTAACACCATTAACACATTATTAAGAAAGTGCCTCTGAAATCCTGCGAACATGCAATACTTCCATACAAACTCCTGCATTAGTGTAACTTACAGGGTTACTTTTTAAATGTACATAGTATAATACTGAATATACCTCAGTACAGAGGAAATGTTTGGTTATATATATGACTACTCCTTTTATTTTAATATTTGTAAGTTATGTCCACATATATAGTTCAAACTATATATTTAGATATTACCACTGCTCTTCCTTTGAATGCAGCTTTGGGTAATATCCAACCCAGCCACAAGATTCAATGGACTCTATAACTTAAATTACTCTGTAGAGCAATAACAAATACTGAGTGCTGTGTAGAGAAGTATTAGCCTAGATTTTCCTATGACATTCTTTTCAGAAAATTCTTTCACTGGGAAAATTTCTTAAAAATACAGAGTTAATATACTAATCTTTAAACAACTGAATACTGGAAATCAGGGTTCAGTTTTTACCAGGCTACTAAGATAGAGGGAAATACAGACTTTACATGAATAAAAAGCAATGCCTATTCAAAATGACTATATTAAACATGTAGGCCATTGCTCTAAAGGAATATAAAGCAGCCACTGAAAATGCTAATTTTTTAAACAATAATTTAAATTAGCAGAGTCTAATTTAAAAACAGCTATTTTTGAACATTATGAACTAACTAAACCTTGTTTTGACTCATTCAGAAACTCAGTTCTATAATTACAGATGTGCCCAATGCACATCCAGCACCCTGTGTCATAGTATCAATTCTTTATGAAATGACTGTGCTATGCTGCATAGGCCAAAGCAAGGGCTGACATCATCCTGCTGGCACCCTCCTGTGACATTTTCAAATCATGCTGGCTGGCTAATTCTTACTCTCTCTAATCCAAACTGCGGAGTCATCCATCAGTCGATCAATCGGAATGATGTCTGCACAGCATTTTTGTATTAAGTATGTTCTCTGAAGACTATTTGGCAACATTTTAAAAGGTATGCTTATATGTTTCATTGGGGCCCCACTATCTCACAGTAGTTAACCTAGATTAAAAAAAAAAGCTATTAGCACTCAACACAGAGGTGCTCAGCCAGGAAGAAACAAAATGTAGACCAAACTTTAAACTGTACAATCAGACCTGCACATAAATTTATCATGAAGAGGAAACAAATCTGTAACAATGAATAAAAATATACAACTTGTCTTTAAGTCATTTAAACATGAGAAAATCCAAGTTTATGCTTCCAATTTGCCCATGGGTATTCATAATACAAAAAGTCTTCTACCATATAATTCAACAAAACATTCTTAGAAATAGTGCATTGAAAATGCTGAATGTGATTTTTTGATATCGCTCTTAAGTCTCCTTTAAAAAATATACCTATTTAAAATCAGGTTTCTAAGCATTCAGTGGTACATCTCTTAAGGGAAGTATGAAACACTGAAAGTTAAACATATAGTTAATATTTTCAATCCTGACATTTATCAGATAAACACTATTTTGCAGAGTAGAGAAATCAGAAACATCTATAGTTTATTGATGCTTTTAACTATGAGTTATTAATGAATGATATATAGTAAGAACGAACCCAACTGCAGGAATACCAAAGGAGAAGCACAGAGAGCCCATGTGACTTTTTCATGCTTAATTATCACCATCAATTATTTAGTGCTGAGAATGCATTACGTGCTGTTCAGGACTCAAAATGCACATAGACTTGAGTATGTCACATCCACAAATACAACACAGAATTCCTGGTCACCAGGACTTTGTGATAAACACAAGAGCCCTTTCTTGATCAATTTCTAAAGGAAGGGAAGAACTAGAGTAGTCACCTTTCATGACAAATTAAATAATTATTAACAACAATAACTGCTTATCTTTAATATACCTTGCACTGCTAGAAGCTGCTCCTCTGTGGTCCAACGGGCATTAATTTTCTGATTTGACTACAAAATTAAAGAGAAGTTTCCTAATGAGGATATGAAGACAGACATTTTCCAAAGCGCTTATTTTTTTAAATTTTCATCAAATCACAGACATGAGATTACTACAACTCTGATTCATGAAGATTCCATTTTTAGAAAGATTAAAAATATATATTCTGAGTTACCTTTTACCCATGCAGAAAGATAATGAAAGGGAAATGTACCAATTTGCAAGAAGGAACAACATTCGCATTTATGCTCTAATTAGAGATATCAAAACATGAGAAAGTCTATTAGTTTCCCATTTCCCAACGGGGTTTCACTGTGTTAGCCAGGATGGTCTCCATCTCCTGACCTTGTGATCTGCCTGTCTCGGCCTCCCAAAGTGCTGGGATTACAGGCGTGAGCCACCGCGCCCAGCCAAAATATTTCTTAAAATTTCTGAAGCAGAAAGTGATCCTGGTAAGAATATTTTTTTCTCCAGACACCCCCAATATTTCTCCCCACAAAAATCCTAAATTTAGGATTTTCAGTATGGTAATATTACAACAGCAAATATCTAATCAGACTTCATTAGTGTATACCCACTGAGTGGTAAATCAAGGACCTTTGACAGTAGATGGACAGAAATAACTACACCAGCATGCAGGGGTTTGCAGAAGGAACTGCCAAGATAAAGTGGCTTGGTGTAATACCGAGGCATGTTGGGCAAAACAGAAAGAGGGCTTCCTTTGAGAAGGGGCGTTTAGGTCTTACCTCACTTATGGTCTTAGCAATAAGAGTTTCTATAGCACACAGAGGTTCTAGGTAACACCAGCTTTCTCACCAAAAGTAAGGAGGTGCAAGTACTCAGAATGAAGAATGAAACAAAAACCCAAAGTTAAAAAAAATTTGTTAGAGGAGAAATGAAAAAGTAAAAAAACGGAGTTAGAATTAAGGAGAGAAAAACCTAAAACGAACCACTGTATTCCAGATGAGGAGATTAAAAAGGGACAGCAGGGCAGGCAAGGTAGTAGACAGTGGATACGCCTCAAGGTTAGGAACCTGGTGATAAGGCAAAGGAAAAACAGTAAAAAGGAAAAGAGAAAGGGGAGAATAGGACAAAAACTATGAGAGACATAAAGAAACAGTAATAAAAGAGCACAACAAATCTAAAAAAGTTAAAAAAGAAAAAGGAGATAGGAAAAATTAGGTAAACATATGTTCCCCCAAAAGGGAAGTAACAAGAATGGAGGAGGAACTCTATTCAGAAGGGATATATATTGTTAATTGAGACCCTAACTTTACACTAAGGAAGTTCACACTGAGTTCATGCACAGGCAATCTGATGCTACCTTGGCTGTGGAAGGTGGATAAAAAAGGCCCTTGGTACCCAAGGATAACTGGTACTGAAATCAATTTAAAACAGGTCAAAATATTTTATAGTAAATGGTAAGAAAATAAAAGGTTGATTGCAGTTCAATCTGAAATGTGAAACTAAAACCTGTAGAAATTAGTTTTTTTAAAAATAGTTAATGACGTGTTTAATACACTTTATTTTTTGGCGTATCTTTTCTGACTATACAATGGTGCAACATCCTTTGGCTTTGAAATTTACATGATCATAAAATGGGTCATTTTTTGTTTTAAAGGCTTATTGAAATAATTTTCTCAAGGGCCTCTCTTAATACTTTGTTCTCAAATTATTCTTTTGTGAAGTGCTTGCCTGTGAGTGATCACTTTTTTCTTTAATGGTTAATTCTGCTGGATACTCATCTGTCAATTCTGTAGGTGACTAATGTCATTCTCTTGCAGTTTAACAGACTTCATGAAGTTTCTCATCTTTTGCAAAGTACGCAATTTCATTTTGGTTTGTGTTGTATTTGCATTGTATTAGCAAGAGAGTGACAGAGAAGGATAATGATGTAGTGAATGGGACAGATAACAGCTACAGCTAATTAGGAAGAGTTGGTGAGTAGAGCCTAATTTTATAAATGATTGGTTTATTAGTCAGTGTTCTTGTTTGGCAATTTTTGCTTCTCCATGCATTACATGGATTAATGACCAGTTGGATATCGAGGATCTTCTGTACACACAACTTGCAGTAACTATGTTGTAGGTTGCTCTAAGGATTAAATATAACTAAATATGAGGATATATTTAGACTATATCTAAAAAGGCATCTGGCACACTGCCTAAGCAAATAAAAGTTGATCAATTCATGTTTATTAAATCTGAAAGAAACTGGAGGGAAAGGTATCATTAATGAAAAGGTAACAAAATGAAAGAAAACATGCATTATGAAAATTTTTTTTCATCTAAACTTCAGAAAGCTTACAAATCAGAAGATGAATGAATACAAATAACTTTAAAGTTAAAAAGTACAGAGTATACAGGGGAATTTCAAGACGGGAGAAAAAGTCACAATGATTTAAGTGGGGAAACAGAACAAGGAAAGGTTGGAGACTGAGATGGTTTTAGAATAGGAAAAGCTTCTGAAAGGCAAATAATGGGAAGGCAATCCACATGTAAGGGAAAACGGGATTTGTGTCAGTAAGAAGTGATAGCCTGGAAAGTTGGTGATATTTAACTAAATTAAAATACGATAAGGGCCATCCACTTTTGGAAGGGTAGTAAAAATCAAGGTTGATAAGTTCACACAAAATTTAATAAGCAATAGTTGTGTTTTGTTTTGGGGGGCAAGGGGTCAGAGGTGTGATCATAACTAAAATAAGACTTTAATCCTGGAAAGCTGGGAGAGGGACAATGCTGTTAAGAACCTGAGAAATCAAGAAATGCTGATGTGGGAGATGTGGGAAGGTGAGGTTAAGATTTAATTTAATTTGGGATACAATGAGAATGAGGTATTCGACATTCAGGTGGAGTTCAGGTTCCACTTGAGGCTAAAATCAGATTCATTTATTTAAACACAATTTTGAAGACTCTGGAAAATTTTTATAAGAAAAAACAATGGAGTCATATCTTACTCAGGTCTAAAATTGGCCTATAATTATTTTTTAAATTTTTTTTTCAAGATTACTCTTGAAATGTCTTTAAAAAGGTAGCCAGAGACAGGCACACAGTCTGTCAACACACCCACACAGCCAGGTATTCCTCCAGCATTGGAGTGGACCACTAGTTTTTCGGTTAAACCACAGATGAAGCTGTTGGCTTGAATTTAGGGTAGTGTTTTACACACACACACACGCACGCACGCATACACACTAGAGTCTCCCTCAGTTCAAAGAGACACACAGAAGGCATGCAGAAACTAAGACTGACTAAAGAAATAGTGGATTCTCAATTCTCAGCTCACTACTGCTCATTGTGGGGCATACATTCAATAAACGGAGTGTAAGCAGAATTGCCAGCACTACTGCACTTGCTATTGCTAAATATTCTTTCTCTCTTTTATTTGACTGAATGTCTGGATAAATTTGTGTAATTTAAATGAACATATGATATGACTTTAACACAGTAAAATAATGAGATTGTGCATCCAAGACAGGGGAAATGAATTTTGAGAACAACTTGGAGAATGCCTACATGTATAGAAGACAAACCAGGGAACAGAAGAAGAGTTATAAAAGAGAACATAACCTCTCAAAAGTTAAAGGAAGAAAAAGAAGGGTAGTCATCTATATCAAGGGTTCAGAAAAAGGCAAGGGGAATCAGAAGTTAAAAGTTGTGGAATGTGGTCATCAGTGCCAATGCTAACCTTTATAAGAGGCAGCTCCGTGGAAAAATGCAGAAGGGGCTGAACGTGGTGGCTCACACCTGTAATCCTAGCACTTTGGGAGGCCGAGGCAGGTGGATCACTTGAGCCCAGGAGTTTGAGACCAGCCTGGGCAACATAGCAAGATCCCGTCTCTACTAAAATTACAAAAAATTTGCCAGGTGTGGTGGTGTGCCTGTGGTCCCAGCTACTCAGGAGGCTGAGGTGGGAGAGTCACCTGAGCCCAGGAGATGGAGGTTGCAGAGAGCCGAGATCATGCCACTGCACTCCAGCATGGGTGATGGGAGTGAGAGTGTCTCAAAAAAAAAAAAAAAAAAGAAAGAAAGAAAAAGAAAAATGCAGAGGGGACGGTTGAAACTGTATAGGATTAAACAGTGTGTGACAAGTGGAAGCAGAAGAGGGGGAAGAGTGAAGAAAAAATAGGGTCAAAAATTTTAAATATACAGGACTCACATAAGTTATTGATTTTAATATTGTCTTTTAAACCTGAGAAACTTTGGTAAAGATTAAAGAAAGAACTAGAATATATCTAGGAATCTAAAACTGCGTGGTAGCTGTAGTTAGCTACATGGTATCACAGAGTATATTCTTCTACAAAAACACCTATCTGAAATGCTGTTGATTTAAAAATAACATAATAATATAAAATAAGACAATCTAATATATAATAATATGAAAGGTACCAAAAAGCCTTCTAGAACGATCTATGACACGCTTAGTGAATTCGGCATTTTCACTCCATCCTTTCCCCGCTAAATTGTTTTCACATCTTTCCCATTTTCGTGAGTGGTAGATTCATACTATCTCTGAGTTGAAAGAGATGGAAAATGTCACCAAATTAAATCTTCTACTCGATGCTGAAAATTCCACCCAACATCCATAATGAAAGGATGTCGTCTACCTTTGCAGGAAAACAACTATAGATGGGGAATTTACAGCTTCAAAAAGCACTCTTTTTTCAGTTACACTTATTCTTCCTTCTGGATTCATCAATCTTTCCTCCACCTACCCATTTACCTCCATCCAAAACAAATCAAAGCAGAAGACATGCCAGCGACACCCTCAACACTCTCACATACTTTCAAGGAGACATATTAATTTTCTACCTTGCAATGTTCTTTGGGTTTACTACTTGCTTCCATTCCTATAACTAATACCCAACCCTACTGATACCCCTTTATCATTGACGACTTACATGCTTAATATTTTAGCAGCTATCAAGTTTCCCTGTTCTAATTTATCCTGTATAATAATGTCATAACTTTTCTAAAATTAAAAATTTTCTTTACATCCTTCTGTACTAAAGAAACTAAAGGGTCTTTCCATTTGACTTAATTTAAAAGACAAACTTCTCTTTCTGGCTTTCTTTTCTTTTTTTTTTTGAGACGGAGTCTCACTCTGTCACCCAGGCTGGAGTGCAGTGGCGCGATCTCAGCTCACTGCAAGCTCCACTTCCCGGGTTCACGCCACTCTCCTGCCTCAGCCTCCCGAGTAGCTGGGACTACAGGTGCCCGCCACCACGCCTGGCTAATTTTTTTGTATTTTTAGTAGAGACAGGGTTTCACTGTGTTAGCCAGGATGGTCTCGATCTCCTGACCTCGTGATCCGCCCGCCTCGGCCTCCCAAAATACTGGGATTACAGGCATGAGCCACCACGCCTGGCCCTCTTTCTGGCTTTCACAAGGACTTTATACTCTGACCCTGCCCACTGATGTCTATCACAAAGATGCCCCTACTCAACCCTGCTAACATCTCTCATATACCATGTTCATTCCTTCTCTGCATCCAAGTTTGCCTTCCTAAGTAGACAATATGCTTTTTGAGAAAAGACTGTTTTACATTTCCATGGAATCCTCAATAGCTATTAATTAGCACAATAATGAGCACATAATAAGTGCTCAGGGAATACCTGTTGACTCATTTTTAAAAGTGCTTTTAATTTTCCCCTACTAGATTTATATTTTTGAATGTACTGTTCAACACTAAACCATTGCTATTATTCCCTCTGCCTGGAATGACCTCTATGGTCCTTTCTGTATGTGCAAAAAAATCCCTCTTATCCTTCAAACCTCAGCTGCAGTATTCCCCCTCTAAGAAGTCTTCTCTAACTGTCCTTGCCAGAATGAATAATGCCCACTTGTTTCCCTGTATACTTTGCTTATAAATCTATCATACAACTTTGATCAGTTTGTCTTATAACATCTAGACTGCAAGTTCTTTTTTTTTAAAAAGCAGGTGGAAAAATCACATCATCTTGTCCACATCTTTGTGTTCCCCCTTCCCACACACTTCTCACCGGGCCTAACACAGTGCCTCATATGAAACAGTTAATCAATAAATACTTGTGGAAGTGAATGGACTTTCTTCAACCCATTTTTCCCTAAATGAAAATAAGAAATACAACCAAATTAATAAGTAAAGCACTTTACTAACAGCTTACTTTTAGTAGAGTTACTTCACTTGATGGCTTATTGTAATTATTCCAAAGCTTATTAACATTCTTTGATTAGATATGGTTTAAACTAAAGGTAAGGAGATAGATTACCTGATTCTTCAAGTTCTTTACTGTACTTGTTAATCTGAAACACATCTATTCAAGTTGCCTTCCTCTCCAAAGCAGTAAGAACAATATGACAAATATAAGTATATCCTGAGGACTCTCTAGATGATACAACATATATACATTTTTCATATCATATAAGTTCAATAAATCAACCCAAAGTAATATCCAAACTTCAGTATATGGATGGTGGAGTGTTAACATTTTGGTTATTTTATTTTGATCATTATTTTTATAATAAATCAAAAATTACAATAAATATCTGATAACTTCTCACCCAATAGCTGCATTAAAATGTGGAAATGTAATATACAATTTTGCTATTACATAAAAACTTCCAAATGTAAGAGGCAACATGACATATACTAATATAGAAGTCCAATCAGGACTCTGAAAAGATGAGCTATAGCCAGAGTTTCATTATTTACTAGTTCTGTCACCTTGAACAAGTTGGTTAACCTCCCTGATTTCCAGTTTCCTCATGTAAAATAATAGTATCTGGTTCACCTATCTGTATGGATTTACATAAAAATCAAATGAGATAGCACATAGGGAAGCTATAAAATGCTACTGGACTTTAACATCTTTCTTTATATAAAGTTAATGAGTGAGACTGTCCTATAATTTTATGGAAAATATGAGATTAGAATTATCCTTTTCTTGAAAACTTAGTAAATGTTTTCTGTAAAACTGTCTGGGCCTGGAGTTTTCTTGTGAGAGAAAAATGTTAATTATTCTTTCGTTTTATTTAATGATTACTAATTATTCAGCTTTTCTTTCTTTTTCAGGCAATTTTGATAAGACACATTTTCCTAGGAATTTCAATGTTTTATTTTTCACACTTACTAGTATCAAGTTCTTCCTGCTATTCCCATAATGTTTTTAATATCTGCGGTATTTTATTTACATTTTAGATTACAAAATTATAGACAGTTAAAATTGTTTGCTTTCATGCATTTTAGTGCATAATACAAAATTAAAATAATTTTTGTTGCAATAATATAACAAAATAAAATAGTAATTTTTGGTATTATATTATCCTTAAATAATTGTTACTAGAATGTTTGTCAGTCTACCTGTGGTCAAGGAATGAGATATCAGTCTTTGTATTATTTTTCACTCTTTTCCATAACCTAACCTTCTTGAAAGAGATTATTCAAAACAGTGAAAAACAACTTTTTTCATAAGTCTTCCTTTCTGAAAGACACTGATGACTAAGATGGCATATGGTACATAATTTCTGAAGTACTACTGTTCTGCCTCCCCATAGCCCCTCACATAAATTTCATCTGTAGATGTTTCAGTCAACCAAGTTCTTTTCCCCTTCTGGGGAAAAAAAGTCCCAATAAGAACAAATAAGATTATTTGATTATCACAAACACAGAAAGGCAAATCCAGGATATGAAGCATAATAAGGAAATGTTAAAGAGAGAAAAAAGATATAATAGAAGCTCCTAGAAAAAGACCTGATTGGACCTTAAGGGAATGTTAAGTACCCCTATAATTACCACAGGTATCAAAAACATATTTAGGTTTCAACTGAAATAGAAGACTTGAGAAAATGGTCAATCTATACCTTGTTTTTGTAAGTACAAGAATGTAAGTCCACATACTAAAATCATAAGTGGAAGCTGAGCCAAAGACAATTATCTTAAATTAAAATAAAAATTCGTTAAAATAATCTAGCTTGTTTTCATGATATTTTTCTTGCCGTGTTACCAATTCACACAAGCAGGAAAGGGCTTTCAGCAAACATTGCTGTAGACCCAGAAATACACTAGCTTGCTCGTCAATGAGCTTCTAGTTTCACATACACTGTTCCTACTACTATTTTCCCTAATTGTTGGCTTGCTATGAATTTCTAAGGGCAGGAAATAAATAATTTAACTTAAATACAAAATGATTAACCAAGCCTCATAAGATCATCTAAATAAAAAGAGACATAATAAATTATCCATATTATGAAACCTTCAAAGTATTAATGATGCATGTGACCAAAATAGTACTTGGGCACTAGATAACTGAAAAAACAAGTTTTCACTATACTTAATCACATGTATCCTTCAATAACATACCTCAGGAGGTTTGAATTCTTCAATTCCACCTTCCATTTTCTGTTTAAGTGCACTGTTTACTTGCTTAGCATTCTGAACCTTCAACAAAATAACCCCAAATGTGAATCAGATCGCGTACTTAGGTAAATTTGTGAGTACTCAATTAAGTGAAAAGAATATATTCCAAACCCCTCTTAAATTTTATTTTAGGAGAATAGTCATACTAATCACACTTGGGGTATGACATGCCACTAATTCAACTTATACATGTATGAACTAATTAAACATCTAACAGACTAAAACACTCTGAATATCTTTGAATATCATGGTTTTGAATATCTTTTAGCAACAACTTTTATAACCAAAGACAACTGGCATACATAGGAATTAAATTCCACCAATTTTTCTCATTACCATAGTGTTTTGACTAAATAAGAATTTTTCCAATAGTAATGATGATGGTAGCTAACATTTATTAGATATTTATTATATATAAAACATCATTCTCAGTCCTTTATATGTAATAAATCACTTAATTCTCAAAACCACTCTGTGAGGTAAGTACAATCAGTTCTGCTATAACATGATAAATACATTAAAAGTCACTGAACTAGCCAGGTACAGTAGCTCATGCCTAAAATCCTAGTGTTTTTGGAGGCCAGGAGTCTGAGACCACCCTGGTAATATAGTGAGAACCTGTCTCTATGAAAAAAAAAAAAAAAAAAAAAAATTAGCTGGTCATGGTGGCATGAACCTGTAGTCCTAGTTATTCAGGAGGCTGAGGTGGGAGGATTGCTCAAGCCCAGGAGTTCAAGGTTACAGTGAGCTGTGATTATGCCAATGCACTCTAGCCTAGGCGACAAAGCAAGACCCTGTCTTAAAAAAAGGCTGGGTGCGGTGGCTCACGCCTGTAATCCCAGCACTTTCGGAGGCCAAGGCAGGCGGATCACGAGGTCAGGAGATCAAGACCATCCTGGCTAACATGGTGAAACCCCGTCTCTACTAAAAATACAAAAAATTAGCCGGGCGTGGTGGCGGACGCCTGTAGTCCCAGCTACTCAGGAGGCTGAGGCAGCAGAATGGCGTGAACCCAGGAGGTGGAGCTTGCAGTGAGCTGAGATCGCGCCGCTGCACTCCAGCCTGGGCGACACAGCGAGACTCCGTCTCAAAAAA
Organism: Homo sapiens; assembly: GCF_000001405.40. Lineage (NCBI taxonomy): Eukaryota > Metazoa > Chordata > Mammalia > Primates > Hominidae > Homo > Homo sapiens. The sequence continues at coordinate 211,294,601 of NC_000001.11, read as the reverse complement.
AAAAAAAAAAAAAAAGAAAGAAAGAAAGAAAAGTCAGTGTGTGCTATGCAAAATTCATAATAAAAACCACAGGGCTTGTAGGGTAAAAGAGGTTGGGACACAACATTAAAAAACTTCAATGACACATAAGACAGGAACCTAATAAAAATGGCAACACAGTTTTACACAATCTAAATGATTTGTTTTTAATCCATAAATGCTACAACAAAGACAGTACTTTACCTTGAAAAAAAACCTGAAGGTTGCTTATGGAAGTGGGAGTCAAAATGGTTGTAGTTTGTGAATTATTATGCAAGTGGTAGGAGGGTTACTTGAAATCAGATGAAAAGTTTTAACACCATATATGTATGGTTCATAACATACAGTGAATTGAGGTAGCTGCTACATGTTTGAGATGTGTGTGCGCTCAGTTCAGCTGGGTACATTTTGTTTTGCTGACAAAAATCATACATAAACAAACAAAAAATTCATGTTATGCTCAAATTTTTCCAGAGTATATTAACTGCATTAGGACAAATCCACATTTTCAAAAAAAGTTATAGCAGAACAGACTCTACTTATATTATAACAGTTTTACAGATGAGGAATATAAGGCACAGAGAAGTTAAGAAACCTTCCTAAGGCTAGGAGATACAACCTGAATTTAAACTATACCAAGTTTTTAACTTTTACTCTACTAGCAATATTATTAGTCTCCATTTAGACTGTTAAGGGTTAGGATTGTTTACTTTTTTCCTCTGTTTTTCCCCCCTAGTGTGGACAACGAAATACTTATAATTTATGAACTATTTTCACTAGAGATCTTAAAACCACAGCTAAAATGCATAAAATCTAGGATGGTTCAAGGGTAGTCAGCTGGCCATGTTAGATAGACATACAGAGATAAAATGTAAAGTCTGAATTCTCGAGGATTTCATAGACTAGTGGGGAGATAAGTAAACATAAACCTATGATAAACGCTAAAACACCTAACATAGACTTGGAGAGAGAAAGAGAGAGAATGAGAGAGTAAATGTGCTTCTATATATGTTGATGAACAGGTGGTGGGGAAGATTAGGGAAAGTGTTCCAAAGAAAAGGACAGCTAAACTGAGTTTTAAAGAATTAAACTGGCAGACAAGCTTGGGAGGAGGGACTGCATTCCAGGCAGAATAACGCTTAGGAAGACAGAAAAGCCCTAAGGTGAAAAGGCAAGAAGTTAGACTGGGGCCAGACCGAGGAATTTTAATTTTGCCTAAAGATTGAAGGAAACCTAAAGGATTTTTAAGCAAGGGAACAAAATGACCATATATGCCTTTTAGAAAGACACTTCTGGTAGTAATGTGAAGAAGAAAATAGGGTAAAGAGGATGGAAATTAATTTAACAATCCAGGTGAGAAATAATAAATAATTAAGAAAACTTTCATTAAAACTGTAGGAATGAAGGAAGGATGGTAGTGGTATGCAGAGATTAAAGAAATACCTTGGAAACAAAATTAAGACTTATTTATTTATTTATTTATTTATTTATTTATTTTTGGAGACAGAGTCTCACTCTGTCGCCCAGGCTAGAGTGCAGTGGCGCGATCTCGGCTCACTGCAACCTCTGCAGCCCGGATTCAAGCTATTCTCCTGCCTCAGCCTCCTGAGTAGCTGGGATTACAGGAGCCTGCCACCATGCCTGGCTAATTTTTGTAGTTTTAGTAGAGACGGGGTTTCACCATGTTGGCCAGGCTGGTCTTCAACTCCTAACCTCGCGATTCACCTGCCTCGGCCTTCCAAAGTGCTGGGATTACAGGCATGAGCCACTGCACCCGGCCAAGACATCTTTGTAAATACCTGATTGTGGAGAATTAGGGGGAATTGAGGCTAACTGGTCACTGGCTTCAGTAATTGAGAGTATGTGGCACTACTCACTGAGACAGAAAATACAAAACGTGGAACAGATAACTATGGTGAGTGTGGAAGAACTCAGTTTGAACACTGCATATGAGATGTTTGTGACATAAAAGTAGCAGTGGTTAACAGGATTTGTAAACCCATGAGTGCAAACCTTTACTGTGTCACACATCAAATGAATAACCAAGTTAGGAAGTTAAAGCTTAAAGTGCCTTCTAAAAAAATCAATAAAAATAGTCCCTAAGTGTAGGAGTAGTAGTACTGAGAATGAAGTATGAATACAGGTGACTGAGTACACTTTATTCCTTTATGTTTTTAGTGCATTTAAAGTATTACAGCAAATGATTTAGAAGTTTTCTAAAGAGGATTGCTGTGGTTTGGAAGTTAGGCATCTTGCATTCATAGTTTGACTAAAGGCTAAGCATTTAACCAAATATGAGATGCGTTGGTGGTATAGTGGTGAGGATAGCTGCCTTCTAAATATGTACTATAAACACACATACTCCAGAGAGTCACAAAGTCAAGTGAAAGAAATTCCAAAAAGAAAGACATGGCTGACAGTGTCAAACATTACTGAGTAGTCAAAGGAGCTAAAAACCAGGAAGGCAGCATTAGATGTTGGCCACTTGTTCATAAGTGATTTTTTTTTTCTACTGTAAACCTTGAACTCCTAGGCTCAGGCGATCCTCTCTCCTCAGACTCTCTTGTGTTGCTAGGACTACACTACAGATACACACAACCACGTTTGGCTATTTTTAAAATTTTTTTTATAGAGATGAAGTCTCACTATGTTGCTCAGGCTGGTGTCAAACTCCTGGCCTCAAGTGATGTTCCTGTCTTGGCCTCCCAAAGTGTTGGGATTACAGGCATGAGCCACCATGTCAGCCCATAAATGATCTTCGGAGAGGTGTTTCAGTAGAACTGGAATACCATACGGGGCAGAAGCTAGATTAGAAAGGGTTGGAGAATAAGTTTTGGTAAGAAAGCAGAGGAAGCAAATGTGGCCTATGTTAGAGAACCAGAAAAGCAGTTTGGGTGAATAACCAGGACCAAGGAATAGAAAAATCTGAACATGTTTAAGATAGAGAATCTTGATCCCACACTATACTGTTGCAAGGTTCTTACATTTTGTAAGCAGAATATAGTAGTCCTCCCATATCCGCAGGGGATACAGTCCAAAACTCCCAGTGGATGCCTGAAACTGTGGATAGTACCAAATCAAAACATATCCAGGTTGAGTATTCCCTTATCCAAAATGCTTGGAACCAGAAGTGTTTCAAATTTCAGGGGATTTTGGGATATTTGCATAATATATACCAGTTGTACATCCCTAATCCGAAAACCCAAAATCCAAAATGCTCCAATGACCATTTCCTTTGAGCATTATGTCAGTGCTCAAAAAGTTTCAAATTTTGGAGCATTTCAGATTTTCAGATTAGGGATGCTCAACCTGTACTGTTTTTCCCTATATATACATACCTGTGATAAAGTTTAGTTTATAAATTAGGCACAATAGAGAATAACAATAGCTAATTAAAAATAGAAAAATTATAACAATATACTGTAATAAAAGCTATGTGAATATAGTCTGTTTCTCAAAATATCTTATTGTACTGTACTGCAAGTAACTGAAACCATGGAAAGTGAAACTACGGATTAAGGGAGGACTACTGTAATATTAACTAAATATGCAGTGATAAGCTAAGGATGAATATTGTAATCACTAAAGCAACTATAAAAGCAAAAAAAAAACCAAACAAACAAACAAGAAAATGCAAAAGATATAGCTGGAAAATGTAAATATGACCATGGTCCACCTTTCCTTAAAGTCCTTCAGCAGTTTCCTAACTCAGGATGAATTTCAAATTTCTTAACATGATTTTCTTATAAATCCCTGTCTACCTCTACTGTAACCTGCTAAAGGCAAGTAGAAACTAACAAAGAGCTTTAAGATGAGTGACAGTGATCAGACCAGTGCTTTAAAAAGATAACACTGGCAACAATGTGTAACCTCCAGCTAAAGAGAAGTAATAGAAAGAATCAACAAGAGGCCGAGCGTGGTGGCTCATGCCTATAATCCCAGCACTTTGAGGGGCAGGCAGGAAGATTGCTTGAGCCCAGGAGTTTGAGACAAGCCTGGGTAACATAGCAAGAACGTTTCTCTACAAAAAATTAAAATAAAAAAAATGAGGAGAAAAAAAGAATCCACAAGATAGTTATTGTCAGGCAAGCGATAGCAAGAGCCTAAATGGGCAGTAGTGATGAGATAAAAAAGAGGGAATTGATTTAAAGGAAATTTCAGAGACAAAACTCACATAACTTGGTTACCACTTTGGTTTACATGTGTTGGGAAAGGGATAACAGCAGGGGATGAATAAAAGATGATTCTGATGTTTCAACAGACAGGAAACAGAGAAAAAAATCTTTTGGGGAAGACCTAGCAGGCAGCTGGAACTATAGCTAAGGAGCTTGAGAAAAGCCACAGCTTGAGAAATAAGATTCAGAAGTCACTGGCATAGGTATAGGGTTGGTTGATATAGACCAAGAAAGTACAGATTTAGAAGAATATCTAGATTTAAGGGATAAGAAAAAAATAACAAAACAGACAAAAAATAGGAAAAGACAACTAAGAAAGGCCAGAGATCTAATAGCAACGAATAACTGAGCTTAATATGCGCCAGGCACTGTTTTAAGCACTTACCATATATTATCTTGTTTAATTCCTCTCAACCACTATACTATTATCCACATTTCCAGATGAGAAAACTGAGGCTGAAAGAAGTTAAAGAGCTCCTCTAAGGTTACACAGGAAGAGATGGTATAGCCAGGGTTAGAACTTAACAGGTTCACTGACTCTAGATGCTGATTTTTAACTACTATCTGATTATGATGATGCTGCCCTTACAATACTACTAGTACTACTACTGATAATGATGATGATGATGATGAAGACAACAACCATCACTCACTGAGCACTCAAAATGTGCCAAGCACTACTAAACAATCTACATGTATCACTGCAAATAATTCCCAATAACCTGCAAGAGAAGAATGATTATTATCCCCGATTTTATAGATAGAACATTGAAGCTTACAGAGGTTAATTTGCCCAAGACCACAGAGCTAACAGGCAGCAATGCTGGGATTCAAATCTAGAACAGGCAGAGGTATCTTCTAAGTTGGACTTAAGATAAACTTTAAAAAATGAAACCTGCATAAGTGGATGGCTGAGAAAAATCTGCAAACAACTGAGCTCAACCTAGGTAAAAGGTAAAAGCGGATAGCCAAAATGCACAGAATCATTAAAAATATTATTTTTATAAAATACCTGACGTTTTAGAGAGATCAACTCCATGTCCAGTTGCCTCAGGATGGTGTTGGCTGCATTGGGACTACAGGAAACTGCTACCACATCTTCCTGGGTTAAATACATGCCCTTAGGTGGACGGCACTTAGAACGCTGAGAATGATGGCGATGTTGTAAACTCTGATACTCTCTTCTTCCAAGTCCAATCTTGCTAGTTTGGACAGGTTGTTCAGTATTACCCTAAGAGAATAAAAGCAGAATAACAGGTCACTTGGTTTTCACAAATGTATAAAGTGAAAACAGTCTATTAATATTAGAAGTATCTGCTGCAATAAGTACACATAAAAAAACACTTCTAACCAATTATATATTATGTACAAGTCCATACACACACACACATAACACTCACCAACTGGGAGGAAAAGCATACAACATAATATATCCTTGCTTAATCCACTCAATCAAATGTTTGATTTTTAGGCCCAGAGGACTAGGAATAAGTGAAAAAATAAGTTAAGACTCTAAACTTTCCTATGTACTTCAAGATGTGATATATTTTCCCTCAGCAATAAAGGGGGGGAAAAGCCACCTTATTAAATGCAAAGTTCCTCTAAAAATAAAAATTAGAAAGAAAAAAGGGGGCAATTTAGAAATTATGACAATAGCAGATTAGACAGCTGGTTAAAGAGAGATAACATTTCATTTTTACTTTACAGTTGCTGAAAGAAAACTACGCCTCTAAAGGTTAAAAGGGACACAATTATCTTAACCCTGAAAATATTTCTAACTTCCAAATCTATGATTAAATAAAATAAATAATAAATATAATAAATAAAATAAATATAATAAAATATAAATAAAATATTTATAAATAATTTTATAATTTATAAATTTATTATAAATATATTTATAAAATAATTTATAAATATTTATAAATTTATTTATAAATAAAATGTAATAAAATAAATATAATAAAAATATAAATAAAATAAAAAATAATATATATGATAAAAGTAAATTTATGTCTCGGAAGAGTTAAAAGTATAACAATGATGACTGTGAAGTTTTAGGCATTATTTCATTATAAGTTGTTCTTAAAGTATGATATAAAAACACGTTATTCTGAAAGAATAATCTAGAAACTATATATTTTAGGTTGAAGATTATTTCAATGAATATATTTAATAATCCAATTTTTTTTTTTTTTGAGACAGGGTCTCACTCTGTCACCCAGGCTAAGTGCAGTGGCATGAGCACTGCTTACTGTAGCCTTTTGACCTCCTGGGCTCAAATGATCCTCCCACCTCAGCCTCCTGAGTAGCCAGGACTACAGTTGTGTGCCATTATGCCTGGCTAATTTTTCTTTTTTTGTAGAGACGGGAGTCTCACCATGTTGCCCAGGCTGGTCTCAAACTCCTAGACTCAAGTGATCTGCCTACCTTGGGCTCTCAAAGTGCTAGGATTATAGGCATGAGCCAACACGCCCGGCCTAATACTCCAATTTCTTAGAAAAGGAACTCTTAGTAAAATTCGTTAACAAAAAAAAATTTTTTTTTTGGTCCCCCAGGCTGGAGTGCAGTGGCACGATCTCGGCTCACTGTAATCTCCACCTGGGCTCAAGCAATTCTCCTGCCTCAGCCTCTGGAGTAGCTGGGATTACAGGCACCCGCCACCATGCCCAGCTAATTTTTGTATTTTTAGTAGAGATGGGGTTTCACCATGATAGGCAGGCTGGTCTTCAACTCCTGACATCAGGTGATCCACTGCCTCGGCTACCTAAAGTGCTGGGATTACAAGTGTAAGCCACTGCACCCACTAAAAATTTATTATGAAGCATAATCCACTTAATTGCTCGAAGCTACCTCCAAGCAACACATGGCGGATCTGATGTTCAGAGAAACTCCTCCCAGTAGGGCACTACTAAAATTGCTGATCAAACATTTTTTAAAGTCTTTTAACATTCACTTCTGAGCTGGCAGGGAAGTGAGGAAATTCTTCCGAGGCCAGAAATGATGAGAAAGCAAGAATCCAGAGGGAGAATCAAGTATGCAGTAGTTGTCATTTGCCTAAAGCCAGGCTTCAATGGACAACAGGTGCAGGGCACAGGAGACAAGCCAAAATGCTAAAAGGGGAACTCCATCACTTTGTGAAGTAGGAAAAAAACACTCCTGCTCTGCAGAGGGAGGGGGTGATTAATGGGAGCCATGTCCATCTCACTCTTGGCTGGGTGGAAAGAAACCAAAAAAAAGTCTCCCAAGAGTGCCCCAACCACAGTCCTCCATTCAGGCAGGTTTAGGGCCTAAATTTATATGATCTGTTTGCCTGAAAAACCCCAAATCAAGATTTTAAAGTGTCTTAGATTGGTAGTGCCTAGAGACAAATAACAGAAGCAAATGCAAATCCTCTCTAGAACAATGCACTTTAAACCCAGGTCTCAAAAAATCTGTTTATGACCAACAGGTCTTCACTAAATGGGCTTCTAAAGGATATACTGCAGGAAAAAGGAAATTATTTTCAAAGAAAGCCCTTAGATTCAGGAAAGAAGGGTGGGCAAAATAGAAGTTAAAAATGTGGGTAAATCTAAACAAAACGGACTATATGTTTGATTTGTGAGATTTAAAAAACCAAGATGTAACAAACCGTGCACAAAACTAGTATATAAATCAGGATGGTAGTGGATGCAGTCAAAGCATTCTAAGGGCCTTCTATTAATCAGAAAGTCAATAAAGACATCAATATTAGATTTTAAGTTAAATATGCAGGATAAAATTTTCAGAGTATACAATAAGAATAGAAATATAGAAACATCCCGGCTGGGCACAGTGGCTCACGCCTGTAATCCCAGCATTTTGGGAGGCCGAGGGGGGCGGATCACGAGGTCAGGAGATCGAGACCATACTGGCTAACCCGGTGAAACCCCATCTCTATTAAAAATACGAAAAATAAGCTGAGCATGGTGGCATGCGCCTGTAGTCCCAGCTACTCAGGAGGCTGAGGCAGGAGAATCACTTGAACCTGGGAAGCGGAGGTTGCAGTGAGCCGAGATCACGCCACTGCACTCCAGCCTGGGTGACAAAGCGAGACTGTCTCAAAAAAAAAAAAAAAGAAAAGAAATATAGAAACATCCCAAACAAACACAGAGGGAAAGAAAATTGAGTAAGAGATGGATTCTTAATCCCCAAAAATAGGACACGAATGAAGGGAAAGAAGACTAGGAAAAGCAAGTTGAATAGAAGGTAAAAATAAGAAAGAACAAAAATACATCAGCTAAATGTGATCAATATAAATGGGCTTAACTCTTCAGATAAAATATTAATACATACGCCCAGCTGTATGCTCCTTATAAGACACATACTTAACATGTGAGGACACAGAAATGTTGAAAGTAAAATGATAAAGATAAACCAGGCAAATACTTAACAGAAGAAAAATGGTGGAGCTATCAACATAACAGATAAAATAATCTTCAAGGCAGAAGCCAATAAAAGAGACCCTACATATTGATAAAAGGCTCAATTCAGCAGCAAGATAAAACAATTTGTATGCACCTAATAACACTAACTTCAACATATAAAAAACTACTTCTCAGTAATTGAGTGATCAGAATAATTGATCACATAAGCAGACAACAAAAACCAAGCTATCAAGTAGGCAAGCAGTAAGAATATGGATTTCAACTACAGAACTGACAAACCTAAATTAATGGACATATATAAAACCTTGTTACCAAGATAATATCCCTAAGCACACATGGGAAAACATTTATGAAAATTCCATACTCTGGGCTTGGAGGTTTAAAACATGTCAACAAATTCCTCAACATTCCTGCCATGGGGAAGCAGGGGTCTATATTCCTTCCCCTTGATTCTGAACCAACTTTAGTAACTCACTTATAACCACTGAATGCAAGAGAAGTGACTCTGAGTAACTTTCAAGGCTAGGCCAGAAACAGCTGAGTAGTTTCCACTTAGTGCTTCCGGGATTGATTACGTTGGAGGAAACCAGCCATTATGGCAAGAAGTTAGATTACTCAGAGACCACCAAATTGGAGAGGCCAAATGGAATTGCTCCAACCTACAGCTAGCATCAACTACCAGCAATGTGAATGAGTCAAAAACCTTTAATAACAACCTACTTGATGTTGAAACAAAAACGATTCTCTTTACGATCAGAAAAATGTTCCCTATCATATCTTCTATTCAAATTATATTGGTGATACTAACCAGTTCAGCAAGAGAAGAAATAAGATACAAGGACTAAAAAGAAACAAAATAGCTATTATTTTCAGGTAATATAAATCACTATATAGGAAATCAAAAGTAATACAAATAAGTTATGAAGAGCAAAGGTCCAAGAATAACCAAGGTACACACTCCTTAAGAAGAACCACCAAATAGCAGAACTTACCCTAGCAACTATCAAGACTTATGAGGCTTATTATAAGTAATTGAAAAAATGTGGGATTAGCAAGGAATATTTAACTGACAACAGAAGCAGAATAGAGAGCCAGGCATATGCGTAAGCCTCATATAAAATAAAGCTGGTATTGCAGACCAGTTGAAAAAGATATTCAATTCCGTATTAAAAAATAAATAGCCAGGCATGGTAGGGCTCACACCTGTTATCCCAGCACTTTGGGAGGCCAAGGTGGGAGGATCACTTGAGCCCAGAAGCTCAAGACCAGTCTGGACAATGTAGCAAGACCCCATCTCTACAAAAAGTTTTTTAAAAAATTAGCTGGGTGTGGTGGTGCATGCCTGTAGTCCCAGCTACTTAGGAGGCAAGAGGATGGCTTGAGCCCAGGAATTTGTGCCAGAAGTGAGCTATGATTGTGTCACTGGCACACTAGCCTGGGTGACAAAACAAGACCCCCAACTGTTAAATAAATACATAAATAAATAAATAAATAAATAAAGGATCTCTACCTCACAACATGAACTTATTTACTGCTACAGCAAGGACTTCAATGTAAAAAGAGAAAAAGTTTAAAATTTTCAAAAGAAAATGTAAAAGAATACTGGAATTTAAATTTAAAATTGGCCGGGCACAGTGGCTCACGCCTGTAATCCCAGCACTTTGGGAGGCTGAGGCGGATGCATCACAAGGTCAGGAGATCGAGACCATCCTGACTAACACAGTGAAACACCGTCTCTACTAAAAATACAAAAAACAAACAAACAAACAAACAAAAAAACAATTAGCCAGGCGTGGTGGCAGGCGCTTGTAGTCCCAGTTACTCAGGAGGCTGAGGTAGGAGAATGGCGTGAACACGGCAGGTAGGGCTTGCAGCGAGCCGAGATCCCGCCACTGCACTCCAGCCTGGGCGACAGAGCGAGACTCCATCTCAAAAAAATAAATAAATAAATAAAATAAAATAAAATAAATAAATAATAAATTTAAAATTTATATGCTTTTGATGAAATAGCTGTTTACTTCCCTGTAGAGAGTAAAAACACAAACCACAAACTGGCAAAAGATATTTGCTGTTAACCAAAGGACTCGTATCCAGAATATACAAAGAATTCAATAAGAAAAAACTTTTTATATTCAGTCTTTAAGAAAAAGACAAATACGCAGTGGAAAAATGGGTGAAAAAAAAAAAAAATACAAGCCAGGCATGCTGGCTCACGTCTGCAATCCCAGCTACTTGGGAGCATGAAGCAGGCGGATCATTTGAGCCCAGAAGTTTGAGGCTGCAGTGGCTATGATCACACAACTGCACACTAGCTTGGGCAATAAGCAAGATTCTGTCTCTAAAAAAACAAAACAAAAACCTCCACGAACGAAACATATAACAACAGCTAATAAACAGATAGAAAAACATTCAGCCTCAGTAGTTACCTGATGAATGAAACTGAGGACACAATGAAATGCCTTCTCATATTGCCAGATTTGGAACATTTTAAAAGTCTGATCAAGCATTGGCAAGGAAGTATACAATGGGTATTCTCACAGTCTAGTGGAGGTATATCAGCTATAGAAAACAATTATGCCATTACCTAGGAAAGTTTAATGTGGCTATTCCCTAAAATAGAGTGACTCCATTCCAAAGAATCCTGGGACCCTGTTACTCAGTAAATCACTGTTGGCATTTTGGTGAAACAATCTGTGCTTTGCACTTCAGTATAGTTGTCACCCCTTTCTCCTGCCCACTCGACAACTGAAATGCCCCACAATCACTGTTAACAATGAAAACACCTCCATAATTTCTAAATGTCCCCTATGGGGTCAGTGCTAAACCTAGCTGAGAACTATTGTACCAAAGGAACTCTCAGACATGTGTATCCAGAACATGTTCATATCAGCAGTGTCCGTAATAAAAAGCTGGAAATTAAGTTTATTAATTGGAGAGTGAATAAGTTGCAGTATATGTATACAATGGAACACTATAATATAGCAATAAAAATGAATCGCAAAAATAATAACAAAAGGCAAGTACTGAAGAATACATACAATATGATTCCAATTAAATAAAGTATGAAATAAATGAAACTAAATGATAATCATATCATCATATGTGATTATATATATGTGATAAAACTATAAAGAAAGAAGTGAATAATTTAGAAATTTCATTATAGTGGTTCCCTCTAGAGAGAAGGTGAGACTATGCAATTGAGGCCGGGCACGGTGGCTCACGCCTGTAATCCCAGCACTCTGGGAAGCTGAGGCAGGTGGATCACCTGAGGTCAGGAGTTCTAGACCAGCCTAGCCAACATGGCGAAACCCCATTTCTACTAAAAATACAAAAATTAGCCAGGCATGGTGACGCATGCCTGTAGTCCCAGCTACTCGGGAGGCTGAGGCAGGAGAATTGCTTGAGCCCAGGTGGAGGTTGCAGTGAGCCGAGATCGTGCCACTGCACTCCAGCCTGGGCGACAGAGTGAGACTCCCTCTCAAAAAAAAAAAAAAAACAAGAATATCCAATTGAGGAAACACAAACAGGACTTCTGTTTCTTCAGCTCAGTGGTAGATACACTGGTATCTATTATTTTTCTTTAAATAGTTCACAACTTTTAAAAGTTAAAATTAAAACTTTCTATGTAATATGTTAACAACATGCAGAAGCAGCTACAAAGATCTATATTAAAAGCAATAATGTAGTTTCTTTCCCTGCCTGGTATCCTTATTGTTTGGAATGAGCAGAGAAATGAATGAAGCTGCTGACACATAGTGCTAGTCTTGGACCACACCTCTGCAGTATCCTCTTAAAACTTTTTAACTTATACTCCCCTCATATTATTTTCTGGTAAGATGAGATCATAAGCAAACAAAAGACCAAATGAGTATGCATCATCTTGCATAGTTGGGCAAAACTATATATTCCATATATATACATACATATATACACATACATATATACATACATATATTTTCTAGGTAGCAAATTCTTAAGTTTTCAGGTTTATATCACAATTAAGAGCATATAGCATGTATTCTCATTCATTAAAATTTTACTAAATGCTTACTATGCATCAGTCCCTGGGAGTGGAAAATAGTTAAAATATATTCTTGCTCTTAAAGAGCTCACCACGCAGGAAGGCAGGGAGGGGAAACTATGAGTAAACAAGTACCACTCAGTAGAATTAGTACTGCAACAGATTTAAGGAGAAATAAGGAGGTTGTCAATTCAAGATAAGGCACAAGATTTCATAGAGAAGCTACATCTTGTAGAGTTGTGAGGAATTTCCTAGGCAGATTTGGGAAGAAAGGAATTCCAGAAAAAAAGGGACCAACATAATCATAGGACAAAAGCCAGGGAACTAAACGACATATCTAAAACACTGTTAGTAATCTGAAATAAATGGGGAAGGGTAAGGAATGCCTAACTGGAGAGTTTGTGTTTTATCCTACAGACGACACCATGTAAGGATTGCAAGCAGTGAATCAGCAACTTTACAAAGGATTGCTTTGGCAACAGGGCAGTCAATGGACTGGAAAGGGTGGTGTGGAGAACCTGGAAAGGGAGGCACGGAGATAATCGGAGAGAAAACTGTTAGGATAATTCAGAGGAGACGAGAACCTAAGAAGAAGGCAGTCACACAGAGAAGAACAGAGAGATCAAATCTCACAGTTTTTTGAGAGACAGAATTAAAAAGAATAATGATAAAAGGAATAGAGTAAGAAAAAGATGCCACTAAAATTGAGACACAATGGTTAAAAAGGTAGATGGGAATCAGAATGGCATTACGAAAGTCAAAGACAGCTTTTCAGGAAGGGAGCAGTCAGTAATTTGATACAGAAAGCACAAGCAGAATACAACTGATCACTGGATGTGGCATTTAGGAAATTACTGGTAACCTGTCAGCAGTTTCAGTGAAGTGGTGGGACAGAAGCTGCCTGACTAAAGCAAACTCAAAAGTGACGTAGTGCTAAGAAGGATGATTTGTTTTCTAGAGTGGTTAAGACATATGCCTTTTTTTTTTTTTTTTTGAGATGGAGTTTCGCTCTTGTTACCCAGGCTGGAGTGCAATGTTGGAATCTCAGCTCACTGCAACCTCCGCCTCCTGGGTTCAAGCAATTCTCCTGCCTCGACCTCCCGAGTAGCTGGGATTACAGGCATGTGCCACCACGCCCCGGCTAATTTTGTATTTTTAGTAGAGACGGGGTTTCTCCATGTTGGTCAGGCTGGTCTTGAACTCCTGACCTCAGGTGATCTGCCTGCCTTGGCCTCCCGAAGTGCCAGGATTACAGGCGTGAGCCACTGAGCCCGGCCAGAGAAACGCTTTTAAATGGAAGACTTGAACATACTTTTTGGCTGCACTGAAAGGTTGAAAATATGCGAAAGACAAAGGATAACTGGTGGAGAAAGAGTAGATACGAAGGGATGGATAGGATCACACAAGCAATGAAATTGTATAGGAAAAGAAAGAAGATCCTTCTTACTGTGAGAGAGGGATATTAAGGCCCAAGACTGTTCATTCAACAATGATTTATTGAATCAACATTTATTGAATATTTGCCATATACCAGGTACTGTGCAAAGTGTTAGGGGATACAAATGAATAACTCAGTCCCTGACTTCAAAGAGTTAGCAGCTTAGTGGGCAAAATACAGTAACTGTAATATGTTCTAAGTACTAATATACCACGGTGGAAAGGCCAGTATGGTAGCACAGAGGTTAGAGGAAGGGCTGGAATTTAAGGGAGCTTCTGTCTGACACTTTCTCTGTGACATGGATGAAGTTATCTGCCAAGTGTTTTTAGGGGTGGAGGGGTATTAGGCAATGTGTAGGAAGGGAAGAATGTTCAAAACAGCTGCCCAGATAAAACAACAGCAACTTGTATCCAAGATTTCTATGTCCTGGGTACTATAAAAAGTGCTTTTATACATATTACCTCTTTGATTCTCAAAACAATCCTATTATTTTCATTTTACTAAGAAAAAAACCTGGAACTTAGAGATTAAAAACTGAGGCACTTAAGGACTACAGTGAGACTGGAAACTGTTTTTCATAGTAGCAACAATTTACATAATTGTATCATTTTCTCCTGCTGCATCTCTTAGACCGTGAATAGCAACGAATCCAGCATCATGAGGTTACAGGGTTAGGGATGGTATAGCAGAAGGATAAGGGAAGTGGGGAGTTAAAGGAATGGGGAAATGGGAAAGAAGGAGATTCGAATAGTTGATCATTGGGACCACGTTTCTGGGAAACAAAGGTAAGGCAGACTTGGGGGAGAAAATGAAGGAATTAAGGAATTTGAGAATATTTAGCAGTAGAAAGAAAATCAGTAAAACACAAAATTACAGTAGAAGAGAATTTTTTAAATAACATTGATGAAAGAGCTTAAGGTGATGAATGGCCCATGGCATTGGGTTTCTTCAGAAGAATGAGAGTCACTAAACTGAATGAGGTCACATAACTAGCAAATGCTAAGTTTAAACAAACTCAGATCTTTTTCCAGTTTCAATGGTATTTTCAACTTTCAACAACTTGGTTAACTGGGGTTCTAGGTATGACTGTATTGCTAATTAACACTGAAATTTACTATCTCATAAAGCATTACATTAAAAAGTTTTTCTTAATACGAAGTACTGTTCATTCTTTTTCAGCAGATTTGTAGAACAATCACAAGTACTTCTAGTGATCATCATTACCTCTTTTTTGGCTTCTTTTTTGGGATCATAATCACTATCATTCCCATCCATTGGATGTGTTTCTTCTACATCATCATCACTGAGAAGAAACAAAAATTAGTACACTTAATTCCCTTTTTTTTTTTTTTTAAGACAGCGTTTCACTCTTATTGCCCAGGCTGGAGTGCAATGGCATGATCTTGGCTCACTGCAACCTCTGCCTCCTGGGTTCAAGCGATTCTCTCACCTCAGTCTCCCAAGTAGCTGGGATTACAGGTGCCCAGCACCACGCCTGGCTAATTTTTATATTTTTAGTAGAGACGGGGTTTCACCATGTTGGCCAGGCTGGTCTTAAACCTGACTTCAAGTGATCTGCCCGCCTCAGCCTCCCAAAGTGCTGGGATTACAGGCATGAGCCACTGTGCCCAACCAATTCCCTTCTTTTTATTGTATTCTAGTGCTCTTATCAAACTGTAATATATATATCTAAATAATTTTACTAAATATTATTTAACAGAATAAGAGTTGTACTTGGGAAGATGAGCTTTTAATTCAGATTTCTGTAGTGTTCAGAAACATTTATCTCATTGGGTATACAGAATTCTTTTAGCAAACACTTCTAGCTCAAAAACAGAGACCCAGTGGGAAAGGGATTTAAAAAGAAATATCATTTGGGAAATGGGAACACATACAAATTGACATAATACTTAAATTTCATTGGAGAATAAAGACAGACAAAAATGAAACAAAATGATTTTATACTATCAAAAGATTTAGCCTCAATAATAAGGGTTTCAGTTACTCAGGTAATTATAAAAAGACCTTTTTCATAGAACATATTCTTTAATATATTCTAAATATGTGTATTAAATATATCAATACTAAAAGGAAGCATTTGTGATTAAAATTAAAAGAGGTGAAAGAGCTCTTAATATTAAAACTTCTAACCACTTGGCTCTTCTTGTCAGAGTAGAAACATAAATGTAAGAATAAGGAATATTTACAATGTGTTGTGATAACTTTTCTGCCTTAGGAAATGTAAGCAATACAATGCAGTGTCCCTAACAATGTAACTATATGAAGGTAACCAACCTACCTGTCACCCTGATTATGTCTATTAGCTAGTTTACGAGCCTGGCGATCCATCAAACTTGTCCTAGAGCGAGTTTTTTTCCAAGAATAGTAATATTTTACAAGGCTTGCAATTGTCTTATCTGGAAGCTTAAAAAAAATCATGTTAATATCAGCAAGTTTAATTCATAAACAAAATGAATAATTTTGATGATATCTTTACTATTTAGTAAAGGCATAATAAAAAAATATTTCATGGGTACCTTTATGAATTATAGAGCTAAAAAGTACTACTACAGTCAGTATCCCATATCAATTTCACTGACATTTCTGAATGAATATTCCTATTTGTTCTGGGAGAGGAGGGGAAGAGGTCACAAACTAATCTGGTGAGAATGTCCCCAGAAGTTCCCAGCGCAGCCATGTTAGTATTCAATATATGTAATTCACATAAAATAAAATTCTCTATTTTAAGTGTACATATTAGTGGTTTTGGTGAATTCACTAACTTGTACAATCACCACCTCTATCTAATTCCAGAACATTTTCATAATCTCAAAAAGAAATCCGGTACCCATTAGCAATCATTCCCTATTCTCCCCTTCCACCAGTCCCTGGCAACCACTAATCTACTTTCTGTCTCTATGGATTTGCCTATTCTGGACATTTTACATAAAGGGAATCATACAATATGTGACCTTTTGTGTCTTGCTTCTTTCAATTAGCAAGATGTTTTAAAGAAAAGCTATTCAATTCTTAACAAATTTTTCTGAATAACTTTGTTTTAAATCCAGGTCTTAAAATGGTAAATAATGCAAACAGGCTTTGGCCATCAAATGAAGTCTCTGAGTATTAAAATGACTAATGATCATGCACTGATCTGTCAGAGTAACAAACAAGGATGCAACTTCCCCACCAAAAATGTTCTCTTCCATTATGGAAGACACCTAGATATATTTGCAAATATTATCTAATTTTCATCTACTCAGGTTAAAATCGTTTAATGCAGGAACTTCTCAGATTTACATTATTTTGACACAATACTAAAAATGTAGGAACTAGAAATACAGAGCAGTTTCTCTCCATTAAAAAAAAAAGAAAGAAAGAAAAAAAGCAGCACCATCTGGACAATATTGAAATAATATTTTTTTTGTTTTTTTGTTTTTTTTGTTTTTTTTTTTGAGACAGAGTCTCGCGCTGTTGCCCAGGCTGGAATGCAGTAGTGCAATCTCGGTTCACTGCAACCTCTGCCTCCCGGGTTCAAGCTATTCTTCTGCCTCAGCCTCCCAAGTAGCTGGGGCTACAGGCGCATGCCACCACACCCAGCTAATTTTTTGTATTTTTAGTAGAGACGGGGTTTCACTGTGTTAGCCAGGATGGTCTCGATCTCCTGACCTCATGATCTGCCCGCCTCGGCCTCCCAAAGTGCTGGATTACAGGCGTGAGCCACCGCGCCCGGCCTAATATGGGATTTTTTAAAAAGGGCTTCCATATCCAAAAATATATAAATTGGAAAAAATCCTCGTGTCAAAGAGTGAAACATTTAAAAATAAAGTTGAAATTATTTTTTTTCCTGGAACAATAAACATACGAAATAACTCTTATTACATGTATATTATTACATGTTATTTAAGTCAAAATAAAAGCTAATTTACTATAATGCAATAGCACATAACTGTCATGTAAGAGTGGTTGCAGAAAACAGGATTGTATATAAATATACCTACTTACAAATAGTTTTTAAAATTAAATTGAAGAATGTTTTTGTATTTAATAATTAGGAAGTGTTTAATAGTAGCTTAAGATATCATTCACATATGAACCACAGTAAGATTAAAATTACCATACCATTTGCTGAATCCTGTGAAAGCTCTTTCCATGAAAACTAAAGGCTTGTTCAAATAGGACTTTATCTTCCACTGTCCACTCATCCGGAAAGGGAGTGAAATTAGGGAGATCAGCAAGGGACTTCTCAATGTTATGTTTATGCCAGAACAACATGCCAAGTGCCTTTGAAGAGAAATCATTCCCCTTTGGTTTTAATGGACTTATGTTCCATCACACTTAAGAAAGTTAAACACAAATTAGATTAAAATCTTAAGCCTATGACTTCGACTGAAGATAGACTCACAGTTTGGGACTTTAAATCAGGGGCGCTCAGGTAGCAGACCTCATTTATTTATTTCTTTTAAATCAGGGCCTCAGAACAGTGAATGTTCTTACATACCATATTTGCTGCAGAATCTAGGAAAAACAGTGAGCTGAGGAGAGTGACTACAAAGCAGATTTGTAGGTTCACACCAAGAGTTTAACCCACATTTTAAAATTTGTCAATATGTAGGAAAAAATTTGCTAAAAGGAAAATTTCCAATAAATCCATACTTGAATGAAATGATCAGATGCCACAAAGCCAGAAATGCTCAGTTGGGGTTTAGTAGAGAGACATTTAAGTTTTAATCTTTTACAAGTGTATCACAGGCTAACCATGTCCAAGAAGTAAAAGTACCTCCACTGCAACTTTAACAATTTTTTAAACCACATTTACTTATTATCAGAACATATAAATAGAATTATTAGGAGGCATATAAATAACTTCAATGACTTGATTACCAAATCATAACAAAGACTGAAATGGACAATTTCCAAAAATTCCATAACTTCCCCTTCTATTTTTAGTAGGCCTTTCTCTTTATTATAAGGTATTAAGCATCATTTAGGGCACAAACTTTTATTTTCCAAGAGATATAGGAACTTTATAAATAGTGAGTTTGTTAATTTCTGTACTCTGATAACAGTCCTTTAAAATACACAGGAAAACAAACATATTAAGGTATAGTCCTATTTTAAAGGATTAACTTTCTCAAACATTAAACAGAAAGACAAGGCTTAAAAACAAAATAGGCAATCAAAGGCTTCAAAATCCACAAAAAAGTTAACTACCTTTAGATAGATATAAAATAAACATCTCAATTTCACAAAAACATTCCTTTACCATGTAACTGGACTATAAAGTTAGCTCTTGATAACCCAGGTTACAGATAATTTACCTTTCTTACTTATCTTAAAACAAATCTACCTATTTTACTATTAATTCTGATAAAGGTTGAAATAATACTTAGTTGAAATGAGATTTAAGATCTCTTTCATTTCATTATTCTGTAATTTCCATTCCCTCATTACTAAGGGTAATGTACCATATATTTGTCTCTCTATATATAGTATATTATATATAATAGAGTGTATTACATAATAAACATCATATAAATACATTATAGTCTATTTAATATAACTTATCTCCATAACTATGTATGTTATACTTACTAAATTCAATGACATTACTATATTTTGTATGCAGAGAAAGACCAATCTGTGGGTAGCCAATAGATCTAATTATAGTGTAAAATATTGAGATAATTTCTTGATTTTGTTACAATTTTTATTTGAAGAGACTTAACTCTACATACAGACATATATTATATATAGATATATCCTTTTGAAGTTACCTAACAAAAAAAGCCTTTTGTGATTTCATTCAAAATTTAAAAGTCTTAAATATTCCTTTAAATGTAAAGTTTAACTTTTAGATCCTGTAGAACAAAAAGTCAAAAGAGAATTACCTGTATCATTAAAATTTTTTATAAAGAAAAGATTTGTTTTAAAGTTCTATCTATGTACACTTACTCCAAATTACACCAAAACCTTAACTTTTCATTTTGGTAAGCATTTGCCAGAGGAATACTGAAGGCTTCCAGAAACTTTCAGAACTCAAAGTAGAATAAGAAACAGATATATTGAAAGAAAAACATTTAAGCCCTTGAGATGAATAATGTTTATAAAAGCAAACTCCTTAATATTGAAAGGTCACTCTTTGCTAGGACTTTTGTGGTATCTATAAAATAGCTGGTCAAGCTTATGCACGCTGTTAGGACAGAAACTATCATGAGATAATCTAGATTTGGTAAATATTGGGACAAGCCTTACTACTGAAGTGTTTCTCTACATACCTGTTCCACATTGTAGCCATGCTTTTCCTTTGCAATTGCAATGTATTCATCCACTGCAATGAAATAATGTTATATAATTAATTATTCTCATTTACTTCATTTACCTAGGTCTACTTTTGTTCTTAACATAGCAAATTAAAACAATTTATATTCCAGGGTAAAAAAAAAAGCCAAAGGCACCTCCCATGAAATGTTACAAAAAGAGACTTATCATAGCAAGATCAGATGCTCACCTGGTTTAAAATTTTATTTAGTATAACTTATCTCTACGACTACACATTATACTTACTAAATTCAATGACATTACTGTATTTTTGTATGCAGAAAAAGACCAATCTATGGGTAGCCAATAGATCTAATTGTTGTATAAAATATTAAGATAATTCCTTTTTTAATAGTCTTTATTTGGAGACTTAGCTGTTTAAGACACTTTCACATATTTCGAGTTGATCCAAAGCCTTTACCATTCCATTTTTGATTGATGTATAAAGGATAGTTTATAGTTTTGCCAGCTATACATAATAACGACACATTTATGTATGCTTCAGTACTCTAAATTTTCTTCAGCTCTTCCTGCTTGTTACACAAAGCATGTTTGAGTATTCCACTTTCATTTATCTTCCATACGTAATTAAGCCAACAGAATTATTTAGATAAGCAGTTTCAATGATGATAAACTGGCTATTATTTCAAGGCCTCATTGCTGAGAAGTCTGACACATTCACCAGAACTCAGTTTTATGTGAACTCCATATAATCAATCACTCTGCCTTGATTCTAATTAATTTATATATGTGTATGTATGTATAAATTAACTTTTTTGGAAATATTTTTGAGAAGCAGTGGTTAAGAATCCTGATTCTGGAACAGCTAGTCTACCTGGGTTTGATTATCGGCTTATTGCTATTTTTTTGACTTTGGCCAAGTAACTTTTGACCTTTCTGTACCTTAGTTTCCTCACTCTAAATAGTTGTTAAAAACAGTACCTTCCTCCTATGATTAAATGAGTTAATAAATGGAAAATGCCCAGAACAGCACCTGGTCCATTTTAAGAATTTTTTAAGTATTTGCTGTGATTATTAGTCAGTATAGTCTTCATATATGAATACACTCTTATAATAATGCTATTAGAATAAAATTGTTAAATGTATGCTATCAAATCTCCCCCCAAAGGGTAAGCTTTTTGTGTAGAAAACCCAAATATTATATTTTGTTTACAGCCCAAAGCACTTAAATACATGACAGGTCTAAATATATGCTGAACAATACCAACTGACCTGTGGTTTCCAAACCTGGCTATGCATTACAATCAGTGTGGGAGCTTTTAAAAAGTAAGACATCCAGGCCGGGCGCGGTGGCTCACGCCTGTAATCCCAGCACTTTGGGAGGCCGAGGCGGGCGGATCACGAGGTCAGGAGATCGAGACCATCCTGGCTAAAACGGTGAAACCCCGTCTCTACTAAAAATACAAAAAATTAGCCGGGCGTAGTGGCGGGCGCCTGTAGTCCCAGCTACTTGGGAGGCTGAGGCAGGAGAATGGCGTGAACCCGGGAGGCGGAGCTTGCAGTGAGCCGAGATCCCGCCACTGCACTCCAGCCTGGGCGACAGAGCGAGACTCCGTCTCAAAAAAAAAAAAAAAAAAAAAAAAAAAGTAAGACATCCAGGATCCACCCTTGAAGCCTCTAACTTAATTGGTCTGAGAAAGAGACTAGACATAAGTACTTAAAAAAAAAAATTCCCCAAGTGATTCCAATGCACACCCAGGGTTGAAAACCATTGCACTACACCTTCATTTAAATATTCCGCATGAACACTACACTACCAGCACACTCTGGCTGAATTTTGTTTTCCACTTTGCTAAGAAATGAACCATTGTGTAAAACAGAACTAAGCCAGCAAAATTCAATGATACCCTGATGCTCAGTTTGTGAATGAAAACCTTTGTCTGTAATGAGGATTGAACCTGGGAAACCAATAGTCTCTTTCAGGTTCTCATTAAACAGTCTCAGGCCAGATGAATAATTTCATGTTTTCTGTTAGGAATGCTTCAAGGGCACACAATTTCTAGATTACCAGCTAGACCTTTAGCTGGTGTTTTATAGCTCTTAAATAGAAAGATTTATCAGGTAAGCAGAAACATACTCAGTTTTCAATTTTTAGCTCTATTGCATCAATAAGCATGATTCAACTTACTATTCATGATAGGATATCATTAATTTTCATGGTACTAAATAAATCAGACACCTTTAAGATGTTAGTAAATATTCTAAAAAGACAAGTTTATCTTACAGCTGCTAGAATTAACTGTTCAGTGTCGTTGTTGTTGTTGATGTTATTTAATAAACTAAATGATAACTGAATGGAGGGGTGGGTATCTTAGTGTTGTTACCTGCACGTTTCCTATATCTGATGTGCCGCAAAGGATCAGGTCCGCTACATCACATTGAAGTCTAAAGCCACACCATGATTCAAGAAGTGCATGGTCAATGATCCAGAAGGTCTCCGTCCAGAAATGGAGAGCACAAAGATGACCTGATGGCTGCTGAAGTCAGTTCTTTCCCCTTTCCTCTTTAAAATGGTAATGATAGTGGGCTCTTTGAAGTTTGAAGGCATGTCTTTACCGCTCCATATACTGAGGAAAAGCCTGGGCAGATGTCTACATAGTAACTCCCTCCCCTGCTTGAGGATTTAAGCAGCAATGCCATCAGATCCTAGGTTTTTTCATTCTTCATGGGCCTGACACAAATTGGAATGATCAACCCACTATCTTCCAAAAGGAAAAACATTCTAATATAACAACCTCCATTAAAAAAAAAATAAAAAAATAAAAAATAAAACAAAGACAAAACTGTTTTCTTATGAGAATCTATAAGACCCAAAAACAAACGTAAGTCATATTTTGAATTGGCTGATAAACTCCTGCTGACATTAACATTCAACTTCAGAAAACTTACATTTGGCATCTGGGATACTGTGATATGGAGACCATACAAGCATCCCTCCATTGTCTTTATCTGTGTACTTTGTAGCACCTGGGGGAAAAAGATAATTACTTTGAATATGATGGATTTTATTTACACTGAAAATAAGTAGAAACAAAGTAAGCTGCCCAGGCACGGTGGCTCATGCCTGTAATCCCAGTACTTTGGGAGGCCGAGGCAGGCGGATCACAAGGTCAGGAGATCGAGACCATCCTGGCTAACATGGTGAAACCCCGTCTCTACTAAAAATACAAAAACAAAATTAGCCAGGCTGGTGGCAGGCACCTGTAGTCCCAGCTACCAGGGAGGCTGAGGCAAGAGAATGGCGTGAACCCGGGAGGCGGAGCTTGCAGTGAGCTGAGATGCGCCACTGCACTCCAGCCTGGGTGAAAGAGCGAGACTCCGTCTCAAAAAAAAAAAAAAAAGTAAGCTTTATTTCTGTTTTAGTACAGTACCTGCAGCAAAGGAGGACAAGTAAAGAAAATATAGGAAAACAGAAGGAAAACAGATTTACATTACATATAGTAAATATTTTGCTTATAAAAACTAAGGAAATTTTGCAAATGCCGGTTTATCCCTTTTAAACTAAAAAAGACTTTCTTCAGTACATTACATATCTCTACTTGACAGAAGGTAATAAATCTGATTTAAACTTCCATACATTACTTAGAGATCATCATTAAAAATTCAAGACTTTTAAACGAGAGAGAATGCCTCAGGTATTTTTTTTTTTTGCCCCATGTCTAAATGGGCCAAGATTGCTGTAATTTTTAAACACTTTTGTCTGCTTTTTATTTAATTTTATTTCTTGCTAAGGGTCTGCCAGCTATTCACTTTTAAATTAAGTTCATTTATTACATCTTATATTTATAAAAGTTTGTGATCTACATTAGAAGAAAAGTCAAGATAAAAAGATAAAAGTCTGGGTGTGGTGGCTCATGCCTGTAATCCCAGCACTTTGGGAGGCTAAGGCAGGCGGATCACCTGAGGTCACGAGTTCAAGACTAGCCTGGCCTACATAGTGAAATCCCGTCTCTACTAAAAATACAAAAATTAGCCAGGTGTGGTGGCGCGCACCTGTAATCCAGCTACTTGGGAGGCTGACGCAGGAGAACTGCTTGAACCCAGGAGGCAGAGGTTGCCAGTGAGCCGAGGTCACACAGCTGCACTCCAGCCTGGGTAACAGAGCCAGGCTCCATCTCAAAAAAAAAAAAAAGTCAAGATAAAAAAGTTAACGCAACTTCTTCTTAATATAATCTGAAAGTCTACTTCTAACCTGGAAGAATAGTAACATTTTCTAATTTCTTTCTTTCTTTTTAAACATGTGAAGTCTTGCTATGCTGCCTAGGCTGGTCTTGAACTACTGGCCTCGAGCAATCCTACTGCCTCAGCCTCCCAAGTAGTTGGGATCACAGCTGCATGCCACCACACCTAGCCTCTAATTTATTTCTAATATTTTATAGCCTAGAAAGTCAGAAAAATCAAGCCCTATTAAAACTTCATATAAATTAAGAAACAATAGCATGAATGAAGGCCTGAGATAGCTATGCCAGAGCCAAGTTACGTGCCTGTAGATTCTATTATTTTAATCATTCAGTGATATTTTTCTGGTCTACCTAATTCTTAGTTGCATTTAATTCATTAAAACTACCAACAAATGAAGCATTGCTGCCACTTTTTTTTTTGAGATGAAGTTTCACTCTTGTTGCCCAGGCTGGAGTGCAATGGCGTGACCTCAGCTCACTGCAACCTCTGCCTCTCAGGTTCAAGCGATTCTCCTGCCTCAGCCTCCTAAGTAGCTGGGATTACAGGCATGCACAACCACACCCAGCTAATTTTTGTTATTTTTAGTAGAGACAGGGTTTCATCATGTTGGCCAGGCTGGTCTTGAACTCCTGACCTCGTGATCCGCCTGCCTCAGCCTCCCAAAGTGCTGGGATTACAGGAACACGCCACCATGCTTGGCTAACTTTGTATTTTTAGTAGAGACAAGGTTTCTCCATGTTGGTCAGGCTAGTCTCGAACTCCCAACCTCAGATGATCCACCCGCCTCAGCCTCCCAAAGTGCTGGGATGACAGGTGTTAGCCACTGCACCCGGCTCATAAATGACTTTTATGTGGTACCGATAATTACCATTAATAGCCAGAATTCCAAAATTACTGACATATTAAAATAATTCCGAGGTTAAACTGTAATCCTTTATAAAGTTATAAGATACTTGGAATGAAGAACATTCATTTCTAGGGGTCAGAGAACTACTACTATAATCTCCAGCTAGAGAAGTTATCTATCAGGCAATAATATAATATCATTAAATATTTTTATTTTTAGAGAAGCATCATATATCATTACTGATCAACAAATTTTAGTTAAAAAATCATACATTGCTATAAAATATAAATTTATCTTAAAATTCTATGTATGTTATAAGGAAAATTAAGAAGAAAAGAGAACTGAAAGAAGAAACACTACCAAAGTATTCGAAAGCCTTTTGTATTTTGTCATATCTTTAATAAAAAAGGACACAAAAGCATGAGCTGAGAATTTAGGAAAATGCCAAATTAAGGTTCATTATGAAAAAATTTATATTCAATGAAAATAAACTGGCCAGGCCCTGTGGCTCAAGTCTATAATCCCAGCACTTTGAGAGGCCGAGGTGGACGGATCACCTGAGGTCGGGAGTTCGAGACCAGCATGACCAACATGGAGAAACCTCATCTCTATTAAAAATACAATTAGCCGGGTGTGGTGGCGCATGCCTGTAATCCCAGCTACTCAAGAGGCTGAGGCAGGATAATCACTTGAACCTGGGAGGCGGAGGTTGCGGTGAGCCGAGATCACACCATTGCACTCCAGCCTGGGCAACAAGAGCGAAACTCCATCTCAAAAAAAAAAAAAAAAAAAAAAAAAAAGAAAGAAAAGAAACTTTGATATATCTTTTTAAAACTTCAATATTAAGATACATATTTAAGTTTTAACCCTGTAAAATAAAAATATAAACACAAAATAGCCAACCCACTCAATGGTAATAAAACAAAAATCCTATTTAAGTTGGTCAGAAGCCTTTACTTAATTCATAAAATCTAATGTTATATAAAGTGAATATCCTAAACTTCAATCCTTTAACATGGAACTGATTATTCTGCACAATGGTCATGACAATAAGATCATTTAAATCCTACTTAATAGAACACGAAATGCAACAAAGAAAGTTTTCCATTAAGTCCCAAGTCTTAACGGCATATCATGCTAAATATTTAAACATAATTTCCCTGCATCTCATTCTTGCCTTACAGAAAGTCTGAATTAAAATATCTTCATTAAATGTCCCTTCTCAAAGAGATATTAAACTTTTTTTAAATTTTTCCCCATAAAAGGTAACAGCTACAGGCTGGGTGCAGTGGCTCTTACCTATAATCCCAGCACTTTGGGAGGCCAAGGAGGGCGGATGGCTTGAGCCCCGGAGTTTGAGACCAGCCTGGGAAACATAGCAAGACCTTGTCTCTACTAAAAACACAAAAAATTAGCTGGATGTGATCGTGTGCACCTGTAGTCCCAACTACTCAAGAGGCTGAGGTGGGAGGATCGCCTGAGCCCAGGAGTTCAAGGCTGCAGTGAGCCATGACCACACTACTGCACTCCAGCCTGGGCAACAGAGCAAGACCCTGTCTCAATAAATAAATAAATAAGTTTCAAAAACATTATTAGCATTGTAATTAAGGGCCCCATCTGACAGAAACTGGTATCCAAGTTGTGGGAACTAACAGCTCTTCCAATATCGGTGAGCAGGTAGATAGAGGAGCAGCATACATAGAGCAATCCTGATAGCAGAGAATGCCTAATTAAGCATTTCGCAATTTTCCTTCCCTAACTCTGAACTGGACTCTACTATTTTCAATTATATATGTGTCAACTAGGCCCAAGAGATGACTGATACAGGAAGTAAGGGATATTTCAGTGCAATGGTTAAGAATATGAACTACGAAGCCCAACTCCCAGAGTCTGAATACCAGCTCTGCTACTTGGTAGCTGTGTCACCTTGGATAAATCTATTTAATCTGTCTGTGCCTCAGTTTTCCTTCTCTCTAAAAATATGGATGATGAAAGTACCTACCTGACAGAGTTGCTCAAAAATTAAATGAATTAATGTAAGTACGTGGCATATGGTAAGCATTACCTAAGACTTAATTATTACTAGTATATGCTTATTGAAGACAGTTCTTTCTTAAGTTCCTTCCTTCTTTATCCTAAAAAGGCTTCTTCTCACCTTATCAACTACAAAATAAATGAATAAATCCTCAAGGGGCTGTATCTCAAAAACGGCTGATGTCCTCTCTCACCAACCCCTTGAAAATGAAATTGAATAGCTGTAAATGACCCATTATGTTTTTCTCACAATTCAGACGTGATTCCTTTCCTATAAAACAGGAGAAAGTAACATGTGCTATTAAAAATAACTTATCTACCTCTTGGGACACTTTGTGTCCAATAAGTTTTACCTTTTTCATTGTAAAAGTCAGAATGAACTAAAACATTGAACAGACATTAACCCCATGTTTATTTTGTCTTTAACAGTAACAATATTTAAGATTATACCTCAAAACTATCTGATATTTAGAAACAGTACTGAGACTCAAACCTGACTCACCAACAAAACAACCATGCCTTAGAAGTACCTTATCTTCTGAATAGATTAAAAAACAAACCAAAACCTAGATAGCAAGCTACCATAATTTTAAAAGACTATAGTAGCGTTATCAGTTCTGAAAATGAAATTGTTGAACAATCAGTTGTCTTCAGTTTTAAGTAAAAACATTTAAAGGTTAATCCCTTTGAAATTATTAGATCTTTTAACTGGAGTCTTGCATTTATAAGACTACTGGAGAAAACCAACAACTAGGAAAGGAAAATATAATTCGATAAACTAGGATTTCTACATCAATAAAAATAAAAATCTAGACATTAAAAATAAGGACTTTGACGAAGATCATGGAACAAATATACTATATAAAGAACTTAAATATTGAGAATATTAAGCTGTACTAAACATATTTTAACATTTTACTATTTATATATACTAGGTTCTAAATTATATACTTAATATGTACTAACTTCAAACTTGGGTAAACAAAGACTTTCCCAGGGTACATGAGCATGAGAAAATTTTAAGAGAATCAATTTTCACAACTTTAACTTCCCTATTTTCTCTTTCCCAAGACAATCTGCCTGAAAACTCACCTGCGGTCAAATGATAAGAGGTTAGATTCATTCTACTTCCATCATCTCTCTTCACAAATACCCTTCTCTCACTTAAAAAAAATAAAAGGGCACCATCTCTCATGTATTCCAAATCTTACAAGAGTACATGGCCCAAAATTTTAAACCCTCCAGGGTTTCAAACAGGGTGTCAGGAAAACCCTCCTTTACTCAAGGCACCATAACTACTAGAGTTTTAATCAATTATGCACTAATTGTAATAACTCAAGCCAGAAGAGATTTAACACTCAGAACCTTACTCACAGGTGATCAATAAAGCACTTTTATTTTATTTTATTTATTTATTTGAGACAGAGTCTCGCTCTGTCGCCAGGCTGGAGTGCAATGGTGCAATCTCGGCTCACTCCAACCTCCGCCTCCCAGGTTCAAGCAATTCTCCTGCCTCAGCCTCCCAAGTAGCTGGGATTACAGGTGCCCACTACCACGCCCAGCTGATTTTTTGTATTTTTAGTAGAGATGGGGTTTTGCCATGTTGGCCAGGCTGGTCTTGAACTCCTGACCTCAAGGGATCCACCTGCCTTGGCTTCCCAAAGTGCCAGGATTACAGGCGTGAGCCACCGCGCCGGGCCCAATAAAGCACTTCAAAGCACAAAAAAAATTATATATGATAAAATTCTGTGGAGAAAATGCATGGAAATGACTTCAAAGACAAAAAGGAACAATGTAAACTTTGAGAATGTTAGAAGCTTGTCTACATATTTTACAAACTAGTACTATCACATCACTGTAGTATTTATATTTAATTGGATACATTTAAAATACAGATAAAGACTTTATTATCAAACTTAATATTTTCAATACACTACAGATTATATTTTTCAACTATTTAAACTCAGTGACAAATAACAGATGTCGACTAAAAATACGTGAATCTTTTTTCAAAATTATTTCATGGATATGTAAGTAAAGTATTTTGAAAACCACTACTTTACACACATTAATTTTCACTTAATCTTGTGATATACTTAACATCATCAACCTTTTACAAACGAGAAAACTAAGGCCTAGAGAAGTCAGGTAGTTCATCCAAGGTTATTATGCCATATTAGATTAAAGGCATATGATAAAAAATTAGCCTCTACACACAAAAATTGTTCCTCATGATGTAAGTACAGTTAGTAGGCACTAAATAAACGTTGGGAAGATCTAGTGAACAACGGAAAGAAAATAATCAGAAATCTAGTTAGTAAAGACATTATTATCAATGGTTCCATAATTAAGGTAAACTGTTCCTAATCTCTTAACTTCAGTAATTCCAATATAAATCTCAATTCTTCTCATATTTCCTAAAATAATCACTTTAATAATTCTTTCTTTTTTTGAGACCAAGTCTTATTTTGTCACCCAGGGTATAGTACAGTGGCGCCATCATAGCTTACTGCAGCCTCAACTTCCTGGACTCAAGTGATCTCCCACCTCAGTCTTCTAAGTAGCTGGAAGTACAGATGTGGTATGCCACAACACTTGGCTAATTTTTGAATTTTTTGTGGAGACAGGGTCCCACTATGTTGCCCAGGCTGGTCTCAAACTCCTGGGCTCAAGCGATCCTCTCACCTCAGCCTCCCAAAGAGCTGGGATTATACTCATGAGCTATGACCCCTGGCCAATTCATTCTTTACCTGCTTAACTCTTATCATCATCAGTATCACCTTTTCCAATAAAATTAGTCTCTGTAAAAAATCCTCTCAATTTTTCTACATTCTACATAGCAGATTTTACAGTCTCAGCACCCAAGGAATTTTTCTTCCAAATGACTTCTAGAGCTATGGGTCAACAATCTCCATAAAGATGGATTGAGTGGCTTAGGAAACAAAGATAATGAGAAAGAGAAGAGAGAGGAGCTAACCATTTCTCAATTTCCATAATTAATAAATATCTTTTTGGCAGGGTGTGGTGGCTCAACCGTGTAATCCCAACACTTTGGGAGGCCAAGGCACGCGGATGACCTGAGACCAGGAGTTCAAGACTAGCCCGGCCAACATGGTGAAACCTTTTCTCTACAAAAATACAAAAAACAAAATTAGCCGGGTATGGTGGCATGTGCCTGTAGTCCCAGCTACTTGGGAGGCTGAGGCAGAATTGCTTGAACCCAGGAGGTGGAGGTTGCAGTGAGCCAAGATCGCACCACTGCACTCCAGCCTGGGGGACAGAGCAAGACTCTGCCTAAAAAAAACAAAAAAAAAACAAAACAAAAAAAACTTTTCATCTATTATTTTTCCCAAGGTAATGTTTATATTCTCACCTAATTATACTGATGTGAAAAACTTCACACAACAGCACAACACTTATAAATAAGAATAAAATAGATCAGCAGTATAATGTTGAATGACAGAGGCCCAGTATTTCCCTGTAAAAAATGCCCAATAACTAATAATCTACATTTGATTGATAAGATTAGCTTTTACCAGATAAGAAAAGCCCTCCTAAGTTTAAATGGTAGCTAGTTTTAATTGTGTCCTTAGGTTTAGCATGCTTCTGTAGAAGACTATTAAGCAGAAAATGAGTAAGTGAACTTACAGAAAGTGATGTTTATCCTTATTCTAATAATAAAATTCAATTAGTCTGAGTAAATAAATTGAAAATATGACTTCAATGACTTTAAAAAAAGTAACATTTCAGTGATTTTTTTCCTCCTCAAATATTCTATTTAGGTTTCAAAATAGGCAAAATATTATCGTCAATTAAGTTGGTTAACAATAGCTAAGACTTGGAACCAACCCAAATGTCCAACAATGATAGACTGGATTAAGAAAATGTGGCACATATACACCATGGAATACTATGCAGCCATAAAAAATGATGAGTTCATGTCCTTTGTAGGGACGTGGATGAAATTGGAAATCATCATTCTCAGTAAACTATCGCAAGGACAAAAAACCAAACACCGCATGTTCTCACTCATAGATGGGAACTGAACAATGAGAACACACGGACACAGGAAGGGGAACATCACACTCTGGGGACTGTTGTGGGGTGGGGGCAGGGGGGAGGGATAACATTAGGAGATATACCTAATGCTAAATGACGAGTTAATGGGTGCAGCACACCAGCATGGCACATGTATACATATGTAACTAACCTGCACATTGTGCACATATACCCTAAAACTTAAAGTATAATAATAAAAAAAAAAAGTTGTTTAAAAAATAAAGATAAAAATAGCTTCTTCAAAAAAAAAAAAACCAGTGGCCATGCAAAATCACATTAATATTATTCTGTTTAAGTGATTATTCTCAAAATTTTGAAATTTGTTCCAGTGTTTATCCTGAAACAAAAAAGATGCTTTCCAATGATCAGATCAATGCTTTCCAATGTAATGCTATGGCATGTACAAGTTTGTTCCAGCATTAAGTCTGGCTCTTAAACACAAGACCCCTAATCGAACTGTATATAGTTGTCTATGAAATAAATATTGACTCAGAAATCTACCCACTGGGGCAAAAATATAGGTATGTTTATTAACTTAAAAAATAATTGTAGCTGCTGAGGTATAATTTGGAAATAACTATCACTACCAAAAAAAACCACACAGACTCCCAATGAAAGCTCCAAATCAGAAAGGTGTGAATATATCCAGAATAATTCTTCATAATTACAAATTTTAATGTTTATAGAATAATTGCCATATGCCCATCATTTAATCCTGGCAAGAATTCCATTAGTTTTTATAGGCTGGGCGCGATGGCTCATACCTGTAATCCCAACACTTTGGGAGGTCGAGGCAGCAGATCACGAGGTCAGGAGTTCGAGAGCAGCCTGGCCAACACAGTGAAACCCCATCTCTACTAAAAATACAAAAATTAGCCAGGCATGGTGGCGTGTGCCTGTAGTCCCAGCTACTCAGGAGGCTGAGGCAGGACAATCGCTTGAACCCGGGAGGCAGAGGTTGCAGTGAGCCGAGATTACGCCACTGCACTCCAGCCTGGGCGACAGAGTAAGACTTCACCTCAAAAAAAAAAAAAAAAAAAAAAGTTTTTATAGCTAGGAATACTGAGGCTCAGGGAAAGCCTGTGGCTTGCTCAGACCACAAAAAGAAGAGTTGGGAGTTAGGAATTGAATTCAGTTTTTTTTTTTTTTTTTTGAGATGGAGTCTCACTCTGTTGCCCAGGCTGGAGTGCAATGGCGTGATCTCGGCTCACTGCAACCTCCGCCTCCCGGGTTCAAGCAATGATTCTCCTGCCTCAGCCTCCCGAGTAGCTGGGTTTACAGGTGCGTGCCACCACGATCGGCTAATTTTTTGTATTTTTAGTAGAGACGGGGTTTCACCGTGTTAGCCAGGATGGTCTTGATCTCCCGACCTCGTGATCCACCCGCCTCAGCCTCCCAAAGTGCTGGGATTACAGGCGTGAGCCACCGCGCCTGGCGTGAATTCAGTCTCTTAAAGCCAAAATGTGCTCTTTCCAAATGTCAAGTAAACCCAAAGGGAGCAGAGTGGTGTGAAAGTGCCATTCACCTACTAGCAACATCAATAAAGAAAATTAGTTTCATAAAACATTTAAAATTATTTGAAGCCCATCAGTATACACACTGATAGTCTTTGAATAAAATGTATTCCCAGCCAGTCATTTAGAAGGCAACCCAAATCTAGTGAACACTCTTGCATCACTGTTTTCACCTATTAAAAATGAGACTGTCCCGACTCATTACTTTTCATCCTCCTCACTTGGGACAGGAGGAAGAGCTGCTATCTGAAATCCAAATGGTTGGTAAATATCATTTTGCATTGTCTTAATGGGGAGAGGAGGAACAAAAAAACACGCCTCTGTATCCTAATAATTAAACATTGTTTCTCTCCAAGAAAATACAAGTAAGCTCTTTAATATCTAACATAGAAATCCAATGTCTGACACAAACGCAATATTATGGGCACTGGGCAAAAATTGACAAACTGTAAGGAGGAAAAAAAAAGGTGGGTCCCTTTCAAAGTCTGTCCAAAGCCTTAACTGAGAAGGGTCTCAGGCAGGGTGGGGAGAAGGAAACGCGCTCCACTCCGAGAGGCTCCAGCAAGGGCGCCTCCATATGCGGAACTCTCGCCCAATCCCTGCACAGGCTGAAATCTCGTGACCGCCGGGGAGCCTGTTTGGAGAAAAGTAGACAGGGAGCCCGCAAGCTGGGTTGGCAGAGGACGCTGGAACCTGGCTGGTCGGGGAGAAAATGTCTCCTTGGCAGCTGCAGCCACTGTCCTGTGGTCTAACTTCCCAGAGCTGGCTGGCGAGCGAGGTGTGCCTGCCGCTGGCGTCTCCCCACCCCCTTCCCCCACCCCTTTCTCTCCGCGGCTCCTGCACTCCGCAGAGCTGCCGCGACCAAAGCTACACCACCTAGCCAAAAAGAAAGAAAAGAGACAATCCCGGCTGCGCACAGGTCGGCAGGGCTCGCCCTTGGCTTCCCCGGCCGGTGACAGCCGCCCTGGCCTCTGCCACCCGCCCGACAGAGCGCGGCCCTCGGCGCCGGGGCGAGCGAGGTGGCAATTGACATTTGCACGGTTCGTCCATACAGTCCGCACGCCTGCTCCTCCAGCCCGCGGCCTCGGACCCTGGACTCCGCCAAGGGCCGTCTCCCTCTGCTCACCCCGACCCTGCCCCAGGCTCAAGGGCTAGGAAGGCGATGCCCCCAGCGGGCAAGTGGCCTCCGAAGGGAACCATGTTAACCTTGCAGTGCACACATCTGCCCACACGCCCAGTGTCACAGCCCGGCCAAGCCTGACAGCCTCCCCGCCACGGATGCCTGCCCAGCCCAACCCCGCATCCCCTCCCGGCCCCATGCCCGGACTCCTAGCCCGTCCACCCCAAACCAAGCCCAGGAAAGGGGATATGAGATTTTGCTTAAGCAAATATATCTACCTGGATCAAATTCAGGGATCCGAGCTTGGTATTCGGCTCCGACTCTCATCCCAACATCTGCAAAGCAATGCCAAAAAATATATATAAAAAATAAAAAAGAAGAAAAGAAAGAAAAAGGAAGAGACACTTAAAAAATAAAAATCGCTAGATGGAGGAAAGAAGCGGCGGGTGGATGGGAAGATATCAACTCGGGGCACTCCGGGAGATGGCAGCGGATTGGGGGCGGGGAGCGGGGGGGGGCAAAGGCGGAGGATTGGTCGAGGGCGGAGGGACGGGGGGTCGCGGGGGTGCTGCTGCACTGCACCGGGAGTTCGAGGCTACCGCAGCGCCCAGGCTCTGAGGGGAGGGAGGGCGGGAGAGCGGCGAGGGGAGGGGGCTGGGGGAGGGGAAGAGGGAGGGGGGCAGGCGGGCTGGCGGGGAGGAGTTCGAGGCTACCACCGTGCTCGTCGTCGCTGCTGCAGCCGCTCTCGGGCTCTGAGTAGTGCAGCCCGCCGTTGGTGGACGAGGCGCCGCTGCCGCCGCCGCCTGCCGGGCTCTTGGCGCTGCCGTTGGCCGATCGGTTCTTCCCCAGTAACTCGGGCCCTTTCTCCATCATGCCGGGCATGGTAGAACAGGGGAGGGGGAAAGGTGAGGGGAAGAGGCAGGCGTCAGGGTGAAGGCGGAGATGGCTTAGAGCGCGGGCGGGAGGGAAAGGAGGAGGAGGAG
Source organism: Homo sapiens (assembly GCF_000001405.40). Classification (NCBI taxonomy): domain Eukaryota; kingdom Metazoa; phylum Chordata; class Mammalia; order Primates; family Hominidae; genus Homo; species Homo sapiens. The sequence goes on along the minus strand of NC_000001.11, from coordinate 211,259,459 downwards.
GAGACGGCGGCGGCGGCGGAGGAGGAGGAGGCTGTTAATATGGAGCCGCCATAACCGCCCCGCTCCGGCAGTAGCGCAGTCGCCTCACAACAACCCGCCCCGGCCCCGCCTCTCTCCCCTCCTCCCTCCGCCGCCGCCCGCCCCGCGCAGTCCCGGGCGCCCCTCGGCCGCACCGCGCTCTACGCCGCCGCCGGTATCACTCCGCTCCGCAGGGAGGTTCCGGCCGCCTGGGGGGAGGGGAAGGGGGGAGGGGCGGGGAAACCCCGCTCGCAGGCAGCCGGGCCACCCCAACCAAGCGCTAATAAAATCGCCACCGAGGCGTGGCCGCCGCTCGGGCTTTCTTCCTAGGGGGCGCTCCGGAGCGCGGGCGGGAGATGCACACGAGGGAGCGGGACTCTTTGCCCTCTCTGGGCGGAAGGAACGCGGTCACCCTGAGAAAGGACCGGCGCGACCCGACTGGGCGACCGGGGGGAGCGGCCCCCCCCCTCTGCGGACCGGGCTGCAGGCACGGGCCTGAGCGCGGCGTTCCTCAGATGTCTGGACCCGCAGGCCGCTCAGTTTCCCGGTGTCCGCTGGCAGCCTCGAGCTAGGGGCGCGCTCTGGCCCGCGGTGCAGTCGCGCAGTATAGCAGGGCGGCCTTGGGGCTCTGAGGCCCAACCGGCGAAAGAAGTAGACTCGGCCCTAACCATCTCGACGCTACAATTTTTGTTTCTGGATCTCTGAAGTAGGGCCCAGTTCCCGAGAGAGAGTCTGGGGATGACGGGATGAGTTTCCGGGGCTGAGCGATGCAACTGTTTTTTGCTGAAGCCCCTCTCCCCGATCCTAACCCTACTGTCTTATTCTTACCATCTTTCTTTCCTTTTTTTTCTTCTCTGTTTTAATAGCTGGGGAGTGAGTGCTGTGGAGTGAGGGGGAAATAAGATAAACATGAGACCTGGCCCAGTAGACGCGTTTTCAGTTCTTGCTGACCTGCGGTCTCCGCTTGGAGCGCTGGGGGAGAGGGCGGAGTCCCCCGGCAGAGGTGAAGCGAGAGCTGCTTTCTGGCAGCGTTTCCAGCCTGGAAGGAGTTGTGCTCTGTAATGCTTTTCTGAATTGCATTCGGCGAAAGGAGTAGGAAACTGCGTTTATTCCTTCACCAGATTTGAGGGCATCTGCTGCGTGCCAGGCTGCCTGGCATTGGGGGCTGTTTATGATTTTCTTTTCCTCTTTTTCTGATTTCTTCCCCCCCACTGACGAATAAGTAGAAATAAGTGAGGATTTAACTGTGAGCCTCTAGTATGCAGATGTATGCTGAGCGGTATTGGGGTTCAGCAGATACTCTCCAAACACTTGAAAATACTGTCTTGTAATAATTCTATTATGGGTCAATCCAGAGTGGATCAAACCAGAAATGAACGTCTCTGGCCAGAGCAAACCTTACTGAGAGAAATAATATATCTAACTCAGGAATTGAGCCAAGAAAACCCTGGGAAGTAAATATTTCTGAAGTGAAAAGTCTCCTGTGTGTGTACAAAACTATCTGGTTCTAGTAGTAGAGATAGTCTCATCTCTCTATTAAAGCTTAATGTGATTCCATTAAATATTTGAATCATAAAACTGGACCTTTTATTCTGTTCCTTTTCTCAATAAATGCAGTTCTGAATATTATTTTAATTCCCGTATAGTTTTCCTACAAGGAGAGAATGCCCTGGCCAAATGAAATGAATAGCCATTTTCCTTGACAGTCGTTATTTTTCATTACAAATTAATACACTGGTATGTTGGTCTTTATGCAGCAGTTTCTAATGAACATGATTCAGCTTCTTTGGTCCTGTAACACAAAAGCTAGACCCTGTCAAATGCTCCTCACTCTGAGGCCTCTGAGCCAGCCAGCTTTCTAACACCCAATGTTGTGGCACTCCATGCAGTTTCCTGCAGAAGGGAATCTGCATATAGATCAGGAACCAAAACGTTGGAAAGATTTAGGGACCTTTGTAACTTCTGTTTATTAGTAAAACCAGTAAAGTGAGAAGATTCCATTCGAGCACAGCACAAAAGGGCAGACGCAGAGAAGACTGCATTCCACAGTTAGGAGAAGAACCTGGGCGAGGGGAGAGTATGGCATTTTTTAAACAGGAAAGTATAATAGGTTTCTGTTTTGTTCCTGAAGAAAAGGAAAGCACCTGAAGCTGGCCTGGTTCTGAATAATAATGGACCTTAAAATGTTTCCCAATAGCTAACAAGGACTAATATACAAAGAGAAAAGGTCTAAGGCGAAATCTTGGAAATGCCTGACTGTAATGGGTTAGAAGAGGAAAAGAAGAAGCTGGACATGGAAAGAATGCTTTAGAATGGCTTGATAGGCCAGGCGCGGTGGCCCACGCCTGTAATCCTGGCACTTTGGGAGGCCGAGGTAGGCGGATCATGAGGTCAGGAGATCGAGACCATCCTGGCCGACATGGTGAAACCCCGTCTCTACTAAAAATACAATAATTAGCTGGATATGGTGGCAGGCTCCTGTAATCCCAGCTACTCAGAAGGCTGAGGCAGGAGAATCGCTTGAACCCGGGAGGCGGAGATTGCAGTGAGCCAAGATCATGCCACTGCACTCCAGCCTGGCGACAGCGAGACTGTCTCAAAAAAACTAAAAAAAAAAAAAGGGTTAATAAACAGTGTCCACTGATGCAGAATCATGAGAAGGGCTTAAGAAAAGGCCTTTGGATTTAACTAGAAGGCTGTTATTTTTTTGGCTGGTGTTTTTACTGTATTTTTGAAAGTTTTACTAGGTGCATATTTTAAATTTGGAACAGAATACTTTCTCATAGTTATAAAGTCAAAAGATAGGATGTACTTCAGTATTGTACTACAGATTCCAGCAATGCATAAAGGCAAGGAAAAATGTATAAGGATTGGAAAGAAATACATAAACCTGTTATCTAGAGAAAGCATGATAGTCTATCATTTTATGCATAAAATTACAATAATCTACACACTTAGTATTAAGTGATTTTAAGCAAGTTGCTGGGTACAGTTAGCTATAAAAATCAATTAAATTTTTATGTGCTAGCATTAAACAATTAGAAAATGAGTTTTTGGCCAGGCGTGGTGGCTCATGCCTGTAATCCCACCACTTTGGGAGGCTGAGGCAGGCGTATCACCTGAGGTCAGAAGTTCGAGACCAGCCTGGCCTACATGGTAAAACCCTGTCTCTACTAAAAATACAAAAATTATCCAGGTGTGGTGGTGGGTGCCTGTAATCCTAGCTACTTAGGAGGCTGAGGCAGGAGAATCACTTGAACCTGAGAGGCAGAGGTTGCAGTGAACTGAGATTATGCTGTTGCATTCCAGCCTGGGCAACAAGAGTGAAACTCTGTCTCTAAATAAATAAATAAAATTAGCCAGGCATGGTGGTGCACGCCTATAATCCCAGTTACTTGGGAGGCTGAGGCAGGAGAATCGCTTGAACCTGGGAGGCGGAGTTCACAGTGAGCCGAGATCACGCCACTGCACTCCAGCCTGGGAAACAGAGTAAGACTCCATCTCAAAAAAAAAAAAAGAAAATGAATTTTTTAAAAATGGTATACAAATGCATCAACAATTTCAAATATCTAGTGTTTGAGTTTCCTATGGCCATTGTAACAAATTACCACAAACTCTGTGATTTAAAACAAACTTATGGCCAGGTGCGGTGGCTCACACCTGTAATCCCAGCACTTTGGGAGGCTGAGGCGGGCGGATCACCAGGTCAGGAGATGGAGACCATCCTGGCTAACATGGTGAAACCCTGTCTCTACTGAAAATACAAAAATTAGCTAGGCGTGGTGGCATGTGTCTCTAGTCGCAGCTACTCAGGAGGCTGAGGCAGGAGAATCCTTTGAACCTGGTAGGCAGAGGTTTCAATGAGCTGAGATGGCCCCACTGCACTCCAGCCTGGGTGACAGAGCGAGACTCCGTCTCAAAAAAAAAAAAAAAAAAAAAAAAAAAAAACAACGTATTCTTTCAGTTCTGGAGACCAGAAGTCTGAAGTCAGGGTGTCAACAGAGATGTGCTCCCTCCAGAGGCTCTGAGTAAGAATCTATTCCTTGCTTTTTCCAGTTTCTGATGTCTGCTGACATTTCTTGGCTTGAAGCCACATCACTCCAGCCTCTACCTCTTTTATATAAGGACAATGTGATGATATTTAGGGCCCACCTGGATAATCCAAGATCATCTCCTTGTCTCAAGATCCTTACCCTAATCACATCTGCAAAGACCCTTTTTTCAAATAAGGTAACACTTATAGGTTCCAAGGATTAACACCTCATGTCTTTGGGGATGTGATTCAGCCCACTACTCTTAGGAATAAATCTTATGAAAGATGTGTAAGAACTCTATACTGAAAATTATATTATTGAGAAAAATTAAAGACCCAAATGAATGGCTGTACTCATGGATTGGAAGACGAGATACTCTTTTTTTTTTTTTCTTTTTTTTGAGACTGAGTCTTGCTCTGTCACCCAGGCTAGAGTGCAGTGGCATGATCTCAGCTCACTGCAACCTCTGCCTCCTGGGTTCAAGCAATTCTCCTGCCTCAGCCTCCTGAGTAGCTGGGATTACAGGCATGCACCACCACGCCCGGCTAATTTTTGTACTTTTAGTAGAGATGGTTTTTTTTTTTTTTTTTTTTTTTTTTTTTGGGACAGAGTGTTGCTCTGTCACCGAGGCTGGAGTGCAGTGGCACAATCTTGGCTCACTGTAACCTCCGCCTCCTGGGTTCAAGTGAGTCTCCTGCCTCAGCCTCCCAAGTAGCTGGGATTACAGGTGCCTGCCATCATGCCCGACTGATTTTTGTATTTTTAGTAGAGACAGGGTTTCACCATGTTGGCCAGGCTGGTGTCGAACTCCTGACCTCAAGTAATCCACCCGCCTCGGCCTCCCAAAGTGCTGGGATTACAGGCATGTGCCGTCATACCCGGCCTAGAGATGGGATTTCACCATGTTGGTCAGGCTGGTCTCGAACTCCTGACCTTATGATCCACCCGCTTCGGCCTCCCAAAGTGCTGGGATTACAGGCATGAGCCACGGCGCCCGGCCTGGAAGACTAGATATCCTAAAGATACTGCTCTACCCAAATTGATTTAGTAGATTTAGGCTAATCTCTACTAGAATACCAGCAGGGTGTGAGTGTGTGTGTGTGTGTGTGTGTGTGTGTGTGTGTGTATTAAATTGCAAGCTGATTCCAAAATTTATATGGAAATTGGGAAGGTCAAGAACAACCAAGACAATCTAGAAAAAGAACAAAGTTGGAGGATTTATACCCCCAGATATTACTGCTAAAGCATCTATAAAAATTATTGTGGTACTGGCGTAAGGATAGAAAATAGAAAAATGGATCGAATAGAGTTCCCAAACAGATGCTTATGTGAACATTTTATTTATGTAAAGGTGACACTGTAGTAATGTGGAGAAAACTTGACATGTCAATAAGTAATGCTGGGGCAATGCATATCATGTGGAAAGAAAGTAACCTTGATGCCTACTCATACTGAAAAAAAAAATCAAAATACGTTGTGGACCTCAATGTAAAAGGTAAAACAATAACACTTTTATAATTTCAGGTAGTCAAACATTTCTTAAACAGGATAGAGAAAGCACTGTTTATGCCGGTCGTGGTTGCTCACACCAGTAATCCCAGCACTTTGGGAGGCCGAGGCGGGCGGGATCACGAGGTCAGGAGATTCAGACCATCCTGGCCAACATGGTGAAACCCTGTCTTTACTAAAAATACAAAAATTAGCTGGGTATGGTGGCACGCACCTGTAGTCCCAGCTCCTCAGGAGGCTGAGGCAGGAGAATCACTTAAACCCAGGAGGTGGAGGTTGCAGTGAGCTGAGACCATGCCACTGCACTCCAGCCTGGGTGACAGAGCAAGACTCCATCTCAAAAAAAAAGCACTATTTATAAAGGAAAATATGAGCATTCCAGATACAGAAAATAGTATGGGAAAGGCAAAGAATATTGAATTAAGATGTTATGTCAGACAACTAAAAACGGTTTTGTATTCCTAGAATATGAAGTGAACTCAGAGTTAGGCAAGTTCTGAATCACATTAAGTCTTTTATAGCATTCGAAAGGGTTAGGCAATTTACAGATAATGAAACAGGATCAGAGAGATCTAAGCAGGAGATTGGGTCCAATTGGTATTTTAGATGGAATAGAATTTGTACCCCCACCCTCAAAAAAAAGGACACTATTGAAGTAATCAAGAAATGATGAGGCTTAAATTACAGCAGTGGTAGCAAGGCTAGAGGCAGGGACAGATAAAAATATTTAGTAGCTAAAATTAGCAAAATCTGGGGACGAACTGAATATAGAAAGACAAAAGGAAGGGATGAATTTAATCTGATACAAGGATTTTGGCTTGGGTGTCTGGATAGATGATTGTGTCAACAACTGAGATGATGAATACTGAAGACTTGCCATTTTATGGGACAAGAAGGATGAGTCGCCGGGTGCAGTGGCTCACGCCTGTAATCCCAGCACTTTGGGAGGCCAAGGCAGACAGATCACCTGAGGTTGGGAGTTCGAGACCAGCCTGACCAACATGGAGAAACCCCATCTCTACTAAACAAAATTAGCTGGGCATGGTGGTGCATGCCTGTAATGCCAGCTACTTGGGATGCTGAGGCAGGAGAATCACTTGAACCCAGGAGGCAGAGGTTGCGGTGAGCCAAGATGGTGCCATTGCACTCTAGCCTGGGTAACAAGAGCTAAACTCTGTCTCAAAAAAAAAAAAAAAAAGAATGAATTTATTTCTGGATATATTGGGTACTCCATAGTGAGATATCCAATATGCAGTTGGATATAAAATTAATATCAGCACTGGAGAGAGAGGAGTTGCTAGTGATTGGTTGTAGCTAACCAAGGTTGTAAGACCTGTCTTAGTCCATTCAGGCTGCATAACAAAATACCTTAGACTGGGTCATTTACAAACAATAGAAACTTATTTCTCACAGTTCTGGAGGCTGGCAAGTCCAAGATCAGGGAATCAGCAGATTTGGTGTCTGGGGAGCATTCTCTGCTTCATAGATGTTGCCTTGTTGCTGTGTCCTCACAAGGCAGAAGAGGCAAGGCAGTTCCCTTCAACATCTTTTATAAGGGCACTAACCCCACTCATGCCTTAATAGTTTCCCAAAAGGCCCCACCTCTTAATACAATCACAGTGGGTACTAAGTTCCAACATATGAATTTTGGGGGAACACATACATTCAGACCATAGAAAGACCTAACTAAGTCACACAAGAAGAGCATACAAGATGAAAAGTATAATGAGCTGAGAATGAAAAGCAAGGGAACACCAATATTAAAGAGTGTAAAAGAAGAAAAAAAAAAATCCATGAAAGAGAGTGAAAAGGAATTGAGAAATAGGAAGAGAACTAGGAGACTGTGCTTTACTGAAACCAGGGGTATAGAGAGATGCAAAGAGAAACAGGGTCACCAGGCCAAGAGAGATAAGACTTAAATGCTTATGCAAGTAAGAGGTCATGAATGATTCTGGTAAAAGCAATTTTACTGGGATTAATGGGCTGAAAAGCCAAGCTGCAGTGGATTGAGAAGTGGAGGAAGGAAATAGGAACAAAAAATGTGAGCCTACTCCAGAAAAGTACTCATATGGATAAGGAAAGGAACACACACACACACACACACACACGCACGTGACAACACGTAGTGTCTTGAAGCAAAGTGACTATAGAGATACAGCCAACAAGATGTATATATCTAACATTTTATTTATTTATTTATTTATTTATTTATTTATTTATTGAGACGGAATCTTGCTCCGTTGCCCAGGCTGAGTGCAGTGGTTCGATCTTGGCTCACTGCAACCTCCACCTCCCAGGTTCAAGCAATTCTCCCATCTCAGCCTCCTGAAGTAGCTGGGACTACAGGAGCACACAACCACACCTGGCCAATTTTTGTATTTTTAGTAGAGATGGGGTTTCACCACATAGTTCAGGCTGGTCTCGAACTCCTGACCTCAGGTGATCCACTCGCCTTGGCCTCCCAAAGTGTAAAGGTGTGAGCCACCACGCCCAGCATATATATCTAACATTTTAAAGTTGAAGTACAAATGCTATTTCTCCACTATTATCGTTTCCCCCCGTTATCAGATGGATGTTTAAAGCTGCAACTTTATGTTAAAAAAAAAAAAGAGTAAAGAGTAAGTAATTGGGGCCTGCACAGAGTTTCAGTCTTATTGCCCAGTCTGGAGTGCAGTGATAAAATCTCAGCTCACTGCAACCTTCACCTCCTGGGTTCAAGTGATTCTGCTGCGTCAGCCTTCTGAGTAGCTGGCATGCCCGGCTAATTTCTGTATTTTTTTAGTAGAGACAGGGGTTTCACCATGTTGGCCAGACTGATCTCGAACTCCTGACCTCAGATGATCCTCCCACCTTGGCCTCCCAAAGTGCTGGGATTACAGGTGTGAGCCACCGCACCCAGCCTCAGAATATTTTTGAAAGAGTACATCAAAACCGGTTCTCTCTGAGGAAGAGGTGTCACAGTCTGGGATGGAAAGGGGGACTTTATCTTCCTCTGTATTTTTTTGCATGGTTGGACTCTTACCATGTATAGGTGTTACTGTTTCAAGGAATAAGTGTTTAAAGAATCAACTAATAGACAAAACACAGATATTTATAGTAAAAAAATTAACATAAAAGTAAAGTTATAACTAATTGAAGTTAGAAAGTAGAATGGAAGAGGCAAGATGGAAAGAGGATGGGGTGTTAGTATTCTCATTTTAAAAAATAAAAAAAAAATTCAGCAGGGTAGTCATTGTGGACTATACCTTGATTCACCAGCTGTACTAGGCACGTAGGAAAGGCCTCAATTGAACTCCTGTTTTATTCATATTATTCAGGTTAATTATGATTTTCTTTATGCTACTAGTTATGCTGAAGAGTTCATTGATGTGTTCTTTGGTTTTCCTTCATTATTACTTTTTTTTTTTTTTTTTTGAGACTGATCTTGGATCTTGCTCTGTCACCCAGGCTGGCGTGCAGTGGCATGATCATAGTTGACTACCACCCCAAATTCCTAAGCTCAAGCAATCCTCCTGCTTCAGCCTCCTTCCTGAGTAGCTACGACTACAGGTGTGCACCACCACACCAAGCTAATTTGTAAAATTTTTTTTTTGCAGCAACAGGGTCTTGCATGTTGCTCAGGCTTGTCTTGAAACCAACTTTGCAAACATTATAACTGAGGAAATTATGACAGTGAAAGAGATCAGACCTAATCAATTCCACCTTCCTTCTAACATTTAAGCTGTCCTTGTTCATTCGTGGGCGTAGGTGGAACTAACTTTGGGAAGGAATTCAGTTCATGGTTTGACTCCGAAACGAAATTGATAATAGTCCTTTTTTGCCTGGGGACCAGTCTGCCTTTGCAGGACTAACAAATTAGCTACAAGGTTAGAAATTAGGGTTTAGGGGCCATGCAGCTTCTGGCTCCAAGAGTCTGAACCTCCCCAAATTGCTCCTGGGGATAACATCACTATTGTAAAACCTAACATCAGTGCTTGAGATATTTTGCAGACCCTGCACTGGATGGATCAGCTGACACCACCCATACTGGTAATCTGGCTCAACCAGTTCTGCCATCCTACCTAGGAACAGAAGACAGCAAGAAAAACTCACTTGGCCCTCCCCTACGATTACATCTCCAACCTGACCAATCAGCACTCCCCACTTCCCAAGCCCCTACCCCACAAATTGTCTTTAAAGACTGATTTGAGTAATAATAAGATTCCAGTCTCCCACACTGCTGGCTCTGCGATCATTACGTTTTCTCCATTGCAATTTCCCTGTCTTGATAAATACCTGGCCTCAAGTGATCCTCTCTCCTCGGCCTCCCAAAGTGCTGGGGTTACAGGTGTGACCCACATCATGCAGCCTAATTATTACTTTAGAAGTGTTGGTCTTAGAATAAGTTTAACTCCAAAATAGAATCAAGTGATCCTGAGCAGCATGGCCAGGGGACTGCCTAACATTAAGCCAGCTCAAGTTGGACACAAACATAATAGGGAGAAGGAACTGTAATTTTTTAAATTTTAAATTTTTAATTTTAATTAATTTTTTTAGAGCTACTGATCCCCACAGCCAGAGAAATCATGTAATCTTAAGAGCTGACAGGAACTTTAGAGGTCTGGTAACCTTCTTTATCTTCACCTCCTGGAATAGTCACCATTTCTGAAACTAGAAGTTTAAACAGATCTTCATTTGAATATCTCCATTTAAACAGATACAGAGATAGATAACTGCATCACAGAGTAGATCATTTCTTTCTTTCTTTCTTTCTTTCTTTTTTTTTTTTGAGACAGAGTCTCACTCTTGTCCCCCAGGCTGGAGTGCAGTGGCGCGATCTCGGTTCACTGCAACCTCTGCCTCCCAGGTTCAAGCGATTCTCCTGCCTCAGCCTCCCGAGTAGCTGGGATTACAGGCGTGTGCCACCACGCCCAGCTAATTTTTGTGTTTTTAGAAGAGATGGGGTTTTGCCATGTTAGCCAGGATGGTCTCTATCTCCTGACCTCAGGTGATCCGCCTGCCTCGGCCTCCCGAAGTTCCACTGTGTGAGCCACTGTGTGAGCTGCTGTGCCCGGCTGATCATTTCATTTTTGAAAATGTTTAAGTCCTTTTTTTTTTTTTAGACAGAGTCTTGCTCTGTCACCCAGGCTGGAGTGCAGTGGTGTGATCTTGGCTCACTGCAACCTCCGCCTCCTGGGTTCAAGCGATTCTCCTGCCTCAGCCTCCCGAGTAGCTGGGACTACAGGCATGCGCCACCACAGCCGGCTAATTTTTGTATTTTTAGTAGAGACAGGGTTTCACCATGTTGGTCAGGCTGGTCTTGAACTCCTGACCTTGTGATCTGCCCACCTCGGCCTCCCAAAATGCTGGGATTACAGTCGTGAGCCACCGCGCCTGGCCAAAAATAAAAATGTTTAAGTCTTAGAAAACATATGTGTTTTTTTTTGTACCCAAAGTTCAACTACATACAAAAGAAACCCCAAACAGCAGTGTCTTAAACAAAATGAAATTTTATTTCTTTTCATGTAAAAGACGTACAGAGGTAGGCAATATTGGGCTGACATGACAACTGCAATGAACTGGTGAGGAATCCAGACTTCTTCCATTTTGCCCTCCACTGTTCCTGGAGCATAACTTTTGCCCTTGCAATCCAGAATAGCTGCTAGAGTGCCAGTCAGGACCCTGCTACATGCAGCAGAACAAAGGAGTAAAAGCCAAAGAGCACACCCCTCTCATTAAGGAGACTTCCCGGCAGTCTTGCAAACCACTTATGCTGATATATCAACATCCACAGCCTAGTCACATGATCCATCTAATCTCAAAGGAGGTTGGGAAATTTCAAAGTGCCCCACTAAAAAGCAGGGTTCCATTGCTAAGGACTACAAAGGAAATGAGTACTGAAAAGCAGCTAGCAATCTCTGTCACACTAGCTCTTTAAAGACTTAAAAACAGCAATCAAGTCCCACTTAAGCTTCTTTTACAGACTAAACATCATTATTCCCTTTGACAAATCTTCACTGATATTGTTTTCAGATCCTTCACCTTTTTGATTGTCTCATGAAAATGTTCTAATTTGTACTTCAAATAAGATAACCCCCTGCCTTCTGTGAGATCTGATTGATGCAAAATCAATTGGAAATATTTTGGGGACTTTGCATATTTTTATTAATCCATCATAAAATTAGCTTTCTTGGCAACAAGTGCACATGGTTACTAAATTTGGTGTCATCTGCATCCCCTGGGTCTTTTTTACATCTGTAGTTATTTAGCCTGAGCTCTCCCCATTTATACTCCAGCAGGCTTTTTACTTTCCTTTTTTTCCCTCCTGAGTGTGTATAAATGTATTGCTATTTAATGTCACCTGGCTTGTTTTAGCTTATCTGAACATTTTGGGAACTTCCTGAATTCTAACTTTCTTACTGAATGTATTAAATGTCTCATATGTGGGCATTTGCACCTGTAGTAAACTGAATTTCTATTTAAGGGCAGGAACAGAATCTTAATTTATATCCTCAGCATCAGGTAAAATGTCTAGTTCAGAGTAAATTCTCAATGTCTGTTTAATGAAAGAATACTGCAGTTGAAAATAAAAAACATTTTCTGGCCAGGCGCGGTGGCTCACGTCTGTAATCCCAGCACTTTGGGAGGCCGAGGCAGGCGGATCACGAGGTCAGGAGATCGAGACCATCCTGGCTAACATGGTGAAACCCCGTCTCTACTAAAAATACAAAAAAAATTAGCCGGGCATGGTGGGGGGCGCGTGTAGTCCCAGCTACTCGGGAGGCTGAGGCAGGAGAATGGTTTGAACCTGGGAGGCAGAGTTTGCAGTGAGCCGAGATTGCACCACTGCACTCCAGCCTGGGAGACAGAGTGAGACTCCGTCTCAAAAAAAAAAAAAAAAAAAGAAAAAAAGAACATTTTCTATATATTTTTTAAAATCTTAGAGTTATTTGTGAACAGGAAACTATGAAACCTCTCTATCTCCTAAAATAATGTGAAAGGAAAGTAAATCTTGGGGCCCCAAAATCACTAAGCTAAAGGGAAAAGTCAAGCTGGGAACCGGTTAGGGAAAACCTGCTTCCCATTCTATTCAAAGTCTCCCTTCTGTTCACTGAGATGCATGTCTGATTGCCTCCTTTGGAAAGGGTAATCAGAAACTCAAAAGAATGCAACCATTTGTCTCTTATCTGCCTATGACCTGGAAGCCCCCTCCCCACTTCAAGTTGTCCTGCCTTTGCTTTGAGTTGTCCCGCCTTTTCCGGACCAAACCAATGTTCATGTTGATGTCTCACGTCTCCCTAAGATGTGTAAAATCAAACATGCTCTGATCATCTTGGGCATCTGTTGTCAGAACCTCCGTGCGCATGGGTGCGCGTCTTCAACCTTGGCAAGATAAACTTTATAAATTAACTGAGACCTGTCTCATATTTTCAGGGTTCACAATAATATAGACATTTACTCGTCTGGAAGAATTCTATTTAATATTTATACGGTCTTTTAAACAGGCAAGTTAGAAGGTATGTAAATTTCTTCCTGTTATATGATTTTATAAGGATTTATTTGGCTAAATAAAAAGAGTAGACAGTGAAAACTTTAAAGTTTACGTTTTATTTATTTATTTTTATTTTGTTTATTTATTTACTTATTTATTTTTGAGACCGAGTTTCGCTCTGTCGCTCAGGCTGAAGTGCAGTGGCGCGATCTCGGCTCACTGAAACCGCTGCCTCCCAGGTTCAAGTAGATACTCCTGCGTCAGCGTCCTATCTGGGATTACAGGCGTGCTAAAGTTTGCATTTTAAGTCTGCCTCAATATGCTGTATTCTTTACTAACACATTCTCGTCTTTTCTTTTTTTCTTTTTTTGAGACATGGTCTCACTCTGTTGCCCAGTTGGGAGTGCAGTGGCGCCATCTTGGCTCACTGCAACCTCCACCTCCCAGGTTCAAGAGACTCTCCAGCTTCAGCCTCCTGAATAGCTGGGATTACAGGCACGCGCCACTGCACCCCACTAATTTTTGTATTTTTAGTAGAAACGGGATTTCGCCATGTTAGCCGCGCTGGTCTCGAACTCCTGACCTCAGGTGATCCACCTGCCTCGGCCTCCCAAATTGTTGGGATTACAGGCGTGAGCCACCATGCCCTGCCACATTCTCTTCTTTGTTTCACAAATTATAAAATAGAATTCACAACCTTTTTCTGTTTAAAAAGACTTTTAAGGAATATATTCATTAAAATCAGTCTGTAGAGATCTCTGGGATCCAAATTATGAGGTAATCTGAAGATCTGGGGATAAAATTAGATATATCAACCACTAAAATGGAAACAAAGTAACATTAAATTGATTTGTGGAAATAATCCTAGAAAATAAAATGTTTCAGAAATTTGCTGCTCATGAGATTAGAAGGCTCCTAAAATACTTTCTTTTTCTTTTTTTTGATACGGATTCTCGCTCTGTCACCAGGCTGGAGTGCAGTGGTACGGTCTTGGCTCATTGTAACCTCCGGCTCCTGGGTTCAAGCGATTCTCCTGCCTCAGCCTCCTGAGGAGCTGGGACTACCGGTGCGTGCCACCACGCCCAGCTAATTTTTGTATTTTTAGTAGAGACGAGGTTTCACCGTGTTAGCCAGGATGGTCTCAATCTCCTGACCTTGTGATTCGCCAGCCTTGTCTTCCCAAAGTGTTGGGATTACAGGCGTGAGCCACCGTGCCCGGCCCTAAAATACTTTCTTGGAGATTGGAGGTAGTAATCTAAATATAATGTGTAGAATAATCTATAAATTTGGCATAATGACAGAAACAGTCATTAATGTTAATTATTGATAGTATGTTAATTATTATTAGTAGTATTAAATATAGACATTAGAAATAACGTCAAAGCTTCTCCAGAATTGGCGAAGGAGATGGCACCCTGAATCTATACAGTGGTCTCTTATTTAGACAGGAATATTCCTGTAGATAACAATAAAAAGAAACGGGTCCCCTGGAGAATCTTATTAGGACAAAAAGAAGATAAATTGATTGACAGAGTCCTGCTGTATTGCCCAGGCTAGAGTACTGGGGCATGATCATGGGTCAATGCAGCCTCAAACTCCTGGGCTCAAGTGATTCTCCCGCCTCAGCTTATCCAGTAGCTGGGACTACAGGCATGTGTCACCATGCTCTGCTAATTTTTAATTTTTTTTGTAGAGATAGAGTCTTGCTATGTTGCCTAGGCTGGTTTCAAACTCCTGGACTCAAATGGTCCTCCCGCCTCCACCTCCCAAAATGTTGGGATTACAGGCATGAGAAAAAGTAACTGTTGCAATCTTTGGCACACCACACACACATGCACATACACGCACCACCACCTTCCCCACCACCCCTGCATATAGGGCTCTCTTAGATATACTTTGATCTTATTCCATTATTTTGGTTGTCAGAACAATGTCATTCCATTCAGCATAAACCAAATTTGTGGCTCTCAGGACCTGGCCTTCATGCCGTGCCCTTCACTCTCTTCCCTCAGTACTTACAGCTCTGATCTGGTCTGAGGAGGAGGAAGCAGGGAGATTGTCTCCTTATTAATACTTCACCATCTATAACCAGGTTGTAGTCTTTATGCTGTTGATTACTGCTGTTTCTCTGAGTAACACTCACTGGGTATAGCAGACCCAAATGCATGGGATATTTTTGTTGGTTATTGGAAGTCCCTCTAGAATCCTCCACCTGTATGAGAGATGCTCCTTGATATGAGAGATACAGCTCAAACTTTACCTCTTCCACTGTCCCTTAGCCCATACAGGGGGTGATGCACCTCATAGCTCTACTACTGTGACCTCTCACCCAATGGACAGCCCTCTTGGATGGAGTATCAAAAACATAGTAAGTATCAAGTTCATAATAATGGGAATTATACATTTCCGACAGTTATTAGAAATTACTTCCCATTACTTCTGAGCTATGAATTGCATTTTGAAAACACAGCTTTTCAGTTGTGACATATTTGAAGCCTCTGTGAAGGATCTAATATTTTATAGACTGAAGTGTAATCATAATGAGTGCGATAGGAAAGTATTAAGTTGATTTATTTATTTATTTATTTATTTATTTATTTATTTATTTATTTATTTTTAGACGGAGTCTAGCTCTGTCACCCAGGCTGGAGTGCAGCGGTATGATCTCGGCTCACTGCAGCCTCTGCCTCTGGGGTTCAAGCAATTCTTCTGCCTCAACCTCCTGAGTAGCTGGGACTGCAGGCATGCACCACCACACCTGGCTAATTTTTTGTATTTTTAGTAGAGACGGGGTTTTGCCATGTTGGCCAGGCTGGTCTCAAACTCCTGACCTCAGGCGATTTGCCCTCCTTGGCCTCCCAGAGTGCTAGCATCACAGACATGAGCCACCGCACTCTGCCAGAAAGTATTAAGTTGAATTAAATTGTGGGGGAAAATTCTTACCTTTGCTTCTAATATATAACTTTATATAGCATTTAAGCTAGGAACACTGTGAGGAGATGGAATTTTTTGTTTTTTTTTTGAGACAGAGTCTTGCTCGGTTTTTTTTGAGACAGAGTCAGTCTGGAGTGCAGCGTTGCGATCTCAGCTCACTGCAACCTCCACCTCCCGGGTTCAAGCGATTCTCCTGCCTCAGCCTCCCGAGTAGCTGGGAATACAGGCAAGCGCCATTATGCTCAGCTAATTTGTACTTTTAGTAGAGATGGGGTTTCACCATGTTGGCTAGGATGGTCTTGATGTCTTGACCTCGTGATCCGCCTGCCTTGATCTCCCAAAATGCTGGGATTACAGGCATGAGCCACCACACCCAGCCTGAGGAGATGGATTATAAATAGAATGAATAAAATATGTCAGTGTGAACACCAGGGCTTAATACTATTTATAAATACTGTTTTTTGTTTTTTTGAGACTAAGTATTGCTCTTGTCCCCCGGGCTGGAGTGCAATGGTGCAATCTCAGCTCACTGCAACCTCCCCCTCCCAGGTTCCAGCGATTCTCCTGCCTCAGTCTCCTGACTAGATGGGATTATAGGTGCCTGCCACCATGCCCGGCTAATTTTTGTATTTTTAAGTAGAGATGGGGTTTCACCATGTCGGCCAGGCTGGTCTCAAACTCCTGACCTCAGGTGATCTGCGTGCCTCGCTTCCCGAAGTGCTGGGATTACAGGTGTGAGCCACCGCGCCCGCCCTATAAACACTATTGTATTTTTTTATTCTTATTTTTTAAAATTATCCTTTAAGTTCTAGGGTACATGTGCACAACGTGCAGGTTTGTTACATATGTATTCATGTGCCATATTGGTGTGCTGCACACATTAACTCGCATTTACATTAGGTATTTCTCTTAATGCTATCCCTCCCCCACCCCGACCCCACGACAGGCCCCGGTGTGTGATGTTCCCTGCCCTGTGTCCAAGTGTTCTCATTGTTCAATTCCCACCTATGAATAAGAACATGCGGTGTTTGGTTTTCTGTCCTTGCGATAGTTTGCTCAGAATGATGGTTTCCAGCTTCATCCATGTCCCTAATACTATTGTATTAATAAGAACTTGCTGCTTAATTTGCGAGAGACAGAAACATATCTTGAAATAGGTTAAGAAAAGCAGAGGTTATAACAATAAGCATTAATTTCCACTCAATTGTTATGGGTTAGTTAGGGCCAGCCAATCTATGCTGGCCTCAGTTAGGTGGCACTGCTGATCTTGGCTGCTCATGTATCTGAGGGTAGTTGGTGGTTGGCTAACATAAGCTGAGGCTGGCTAGGTAGTTCAGCTCAGGTGGCTCTGCCCCACATACCTCTTATCCTATTATTGATACCTGCAGACTAGCCTGGGCATATTTTTCTCATGGAAATGGTAGAAGTGCAAAAGAGTAAGCCCAGTTGCACAACTACTCTTCAAACCTTTGATCATGTCACATCTGCTATCATTCCATTGGCTAAAGCAAGTCATATAGGAAGCCCAATGTTCAGGGGCAGAAAAGTATACTCCACCCATGGAGGTGAGAAATGAATCCCTCTGAACAATAATCTAATCTATCAAAAATATAAATATAACTGAATCAAAAGTTTCACAAAACAATTTTTAACAAGTGGTTTGTGATGCCTTAAAATATTTTCTATTTTACTTTATATTATTTTGCTGGTTAACCCTCACTGCACTGATTTCACAACCCTTCAAGATCTGTAGTTTGAAAAACAATGCCCTAGACAAAAACTGATTCAGACAGACACACATGATCTGCATCTTAGAAGCATCAACTGAGCACCAAACAAAAATAATTCTGATAGTTCTCTCTCTAGCCTCATTTAACTAGGGTAGGATATTGGTGTGGGGATATAGGGAGTTGCTTTAGTGTTACTCTAGTCAGTGTTACTCAAAATGTAGTCCACAAACAAGCTAGTTCACAGACAGGTACCAGTCCACAAACTATTCATTACCAGTCCACAGTGAGATAAGAGACCAATGCCAGAATGTAAATCCACACACTGCTTCTTTCATTGAGGAAGTCTTACTTAAAAAAAAAAAAAAAGCCAGGTAAATGAAACTGCATACTTACTGACATAGTTGCTTTACACTCTAATGAAAGCTCTTTATCTCAGTCTGACTAGTAACAAACAGTTCACAGACCAGCACTCTGAGTGGTATTACCTAAGGAATGCCCAGAATCTTCTAGACAGGAATCTCCATAAAATAGTTATCGTGTGGATCTGAGACAAAGGAAGAGTATTTTGGAGAAGAGGATTGTTAGGCATTTCATAAATATTGTAGGGAAAGAAACTGGTAATGAGAAAGGGGCCCAAGAAACAAGAACAGAGGACTAAGTGATAGAACAAGATTTTGGAGAATGAGGAGGGAATAGGGACAAAGTGACTAGATTGGTTGGAATAGGAGGCAGTATACCTCCTCCCCTGAGACTAGAGAAAACTAAAAAGGGGACACCTACCAATAAGTTTCTAGGTAACCATGTTGGACAGTGGAGCATTTCTCTTTTTTTAATTTTTAATTTTAATTTTTTTATTTTTTTTGAAGTGGAGTCTTGCTCTGTTGCCCAGGCTGGAGTGCAGTGGTGTGATCTCGGCTCACTTCAACCTCCACCTCCTGGGCTCAAGCAATTCTTCTGAGTCAGCCTCCCAGGTAGCTGGGATTAGAGTCGCCCGCAACCACGCCCAGCTAATTTTGTTTTGTTTTGTTTTGAGACGGAGTCTCACTCTGTCACCAGGCTGGAGTGTAGTGGCATGATCTCGGCTCACCTCCAACTCCCTGGTTCAAGCAATTCTCCTGCCTCAGCCTTCCGAGTAACTGGGATTGCAGACACGTGCCACCATGCCCAGCTAAGTTTTGTATTTTTAGTAGAGACAGGGTTTCACCATGTTGGCCAGGATGGTCTCCATCTCCTGACCTAGTGATCCACCTACCTCGGCCTCCCAAAGTGCTGGGATTACAGGCATGAGCCATTGCGCCTGGCTTGACAGTGGAGCATTTCATGCCTGATGGTATCACTCTTCTCAGAGCAGAAGAAAGGCCATTTGCAGAAAGAGAGAAGGGGTAGGTTTTGAGTAGGGTATTTGAAAGGAGCAGTGAAGTTATAGAAAACTTCACACTGCTCTATTTTTGTCTTGTTACTGCCATTTTGGAATTGGGGGGATTTGAATTAAACTACATTTATTTAAAATCCTAGTGAGGTTGTATCAGTTTATTCTATTTTATAAATATCTTTTCTCTTTAATATTAGAGATTTTTTGTCATAACCTATGTACTTCAAAGCAATTTCTTTTCTTTTCTTTCTTTCTTTTTTTTTTTTTTTTTTTTGAGACGGAGTTTCGCTCTTGTTGCCCAGGCTGGAGTGCAGTGGTGTCAATCTTAGCTCACTGCAACCTCCGCCTCCTGGGTTCAAGCAATTCTTTTGCCTCAGCCTCTGGAGTAGGAGGGATTACAGGCATGCGCCACCACGCCCAGTTAATTTTGTATTTTTAGTAGAGACGGGGTTTATCCATGTTGGTCAGGCTGGTCTCGAATTCCCGACCTCAGGTGTTCCGCCCGCCTCGGCCTCCCAAAGTGCTGGGATTACAGGCGTGAGCCACTGTGCCTGGCCAGCAATTTCTTTTTCCAAATATTTTGTTATAAAAATTATCAAACACACAGAAAAATAGAAAGAATTATACAGGGAGAATTAATTTACCCACCACCTGCATTCTATAATTTATTTTTATGTCAATTTCAATTTGAAGCTTTTAGGAAATGAAGTGATTATAATTTTGTTTACCAAGGTTAGCAGATACTTGTGAAGACATTGGGAAGGAAGTTATTTCTAAATCAACAGGCCAAATACTAAAGTTCTTAGCCTGGGTTTTAGTCAGCATTCTGCAGAGAAACAGAACCAACAGGAGACATTATATATATAGACATTATATATATATATATATATATATATATATATATATATATATATATAATGTCTATACGTCTGTAATGAAATATATATATATGTATGTGTATATGAAATAAGAAACTGGCCCACATAATTATGGAGGCTGGTAAGTTCCAAGATCTGCAGGGTGAGTCTGCAAGGTGCAGACCCAGCAGAGCTGATGGTTTACTTCTGGTCTGAGTCGGAATAGCTGAGAACCAGGGGAGGCAATGCCATAGTTCCCGTTTGAAGGCTAGCTGGTGCTTGACCCAGGAAGAGCTGATGTCTTAGCTCAAACAAATGCTATCAGGCAAAAAGAATTCTCTCTTATTCAAAGGAGGGTCAGCTTTTTTGTTGTATTGATATCCTCGTCTATGGCCATACCACCCTGAATGTGCCCTATCTCATCTGATATCCTCAACTTATTCAATAAGGCCCACCCACATGATGGAGGATAATGTACTTCACTCAGTCTAGTGATTTAAATGTTAATCTCACCCAGAAACACCCTCCCACACACACCCAAAATAATGTTTAACCAAATAAATACCTGGGCTCCCTTTGGCCCAGTAAAGTTAACACATGAACATCAGCTGGGCGTGGTGGCTCACGCCTGTAATCCCAGCACTGTGGGAGGCTGAGGTGGGCAGATCACGAGGTCAGGAGTTCGAGACCAGCCTTGCCAATATGGTGAAACCCTATCTCTACTAAAAATACAAAAATTAGCTGAGTGTGGTGGCGTGCACCTGTAGTCCTAGCTACTCAGGAGGCTGAGGCAGAAGAATCACTTGAACCCGGGAGGTGGAGGTTGCAGTGAGCTGAGATTGTGCCACTGCACTCCAGCCTGGGTGACAGAGTAAGACTCCATCTCAAAAAATAATAATAATAAAAAAAAAGCCTGGCTGTGGTGGCTCATGCTGTAATCCCAGCACTTTGGGAGGCTGAGGCGGGCGGATCATGAGATAGGGAGATGACACCATCCTGGCCAACATGGTGAAACCCTGTCTCTACTAAAATACAAAAAAAAATAGCAGGGCGCGGTGATGCACACCTGTAGTCCCAGCTACTCAGGAGGCTGAGGCAGGGGAATCGCTTGAACCTGAGAGGCAGAGGTTGCAGTGAGTTGAGATCATGCCACTGTACTCCAGCTGGTGACAGAGCAAGACTCCATCTCAAAATATATAAATAAATAAATAAAAATTTAAAAATAAACATCATAGCCTCTTTATGCTGTAGCTTTTTAGGAGAATGGTAACCATCTCCAATGTACATCTCAGGCAGCTCCTTCCACACCTTCACCTATGAAAATCATTGTAACGCTGTTGTTTCTTGAAGATGTGCCATATTCATCCTGTTGTTTTGTGAATCCCCAGCCCGCCACTGAATATCCATAGGGTGTTTGTTTGTTTGTTTGTTTGTGACAGAGTTTTGCTCTCGTTGCCCAGGCTGGAGTGCAGTGGCACAATCTCGGCTCACCGCAACCTCCACCTCCCGGGTTCAAGAGATTCTCCTGCCTCAGCCTCCTGAGTAGCTGGGATTATAGGCATGCACCACCACGCCCGGCTAATTTTGTATTTTTAGTAGAGACAGAGTTTCTCCATGTTGGTAAGTCTGGTCTGGAACTCCCAATCTCAGGTGATCCACCAACCTCGGCCTCCCAAAGTGCGGGATTGTAGACATGAACCACCGCGCCCGGCATCCTTAGGGATTTAATAACTCACTGTAAATACAGTGTTGGGTCGCTTAACGACAGGGACATGTTCTGAGAAATGTGTTGCTGGGTGATTTCATCATTGTTTCAACATCATAGTACATACTTACACAAACCTGGATGATATAGACTACTATACACCTCAGCTACAAACCTGTACAGCATGTTACTATCCTGAACCCTTGGTAAGTCCTTGTGTATCTAAGCATAGAAAGAGTACAATAAAAATATGGTGGCCAGGCCCTGTGGCTCACACGTGTAATCCCAGCACTGTGGGAGGCCTAGGGGGTGGATCACCTGAGGTCGGGAGTTTGAGACCAGCCTGACCAAAATGGAGAAACCCCGTCTCTACTAAAAATACAAAATTAGCTGGGCATGATGGCACTTGCCTGTAATCCCACCTACTCGGGAGAATTGCTTGAACCCGGGAGGTGGAGGTTGTGGTCAGCTGAGCTCACGCCATTGCACTCCAGCCTGGGTAACGAGCGAAACTCCATCTCAAAAAAAAAATACAGTATAGTAAATACATAAACCAGTAACATAGTTGTTTATCATTATCAAGTATTATGTACTGTACATAATTGTATGTGCTACACTTTTATACAACTGGCAGCTCAGTTTGGTAGGTTTGTTTTTCTCCAGCATCACCAAAAATATGTGAGTAATGCAGTGCACTACAACTTACCGTGGTTACGACATCATTGGGTGATAGGAATTTTTCAGGTTCTTTATAATCTTAAGGACTACTGACTGGGAGTGGTGGCTCATTCCTGTAATCCCGGCATTTAGGGAGGCTGAGGCAGGCAGATCACTTGAGCCCAGGAGTTTGAGACCAGCATGGGCAACATGGTGAAACCCCACCCATCTCTACAAAAAATACAAAATATTAGCTGGGCATGGTGGCACAGCCCTGCAGTCCCAGCTACTCGGGAGGTTGAGAGGTGGGAGGATCACTTGAGCCCTGGAGGCCTAAGCTGCAGTGAGCCGTGATCACGCCACTGTACTCCAGCCTGGGCTACAGAGAGAGATCCTATTTCAAAAAACAAACAAAAAAAACAACTTAGGTACTATCATTGTATGCTACCATGTTTATGCTGTCCATCCTGGACCAAAACATTATTATGAAGCACATGACTCCTTTTTAAACAAGGCTCTTATGTAATTGTATTATTTTTTCTACAAACACATAAAGCAATTTCAAATCCCCATGGAACAGAATGGAATACAAATACACATACAATTATTTATACCAACCAAATGTTCAAAATTGTAAACTATTTTTCTTATAAATTGAAAGCTGTGTTTTGAGTTTTTTTCTTTCGTTTTTTTTTTGTTTGTTTGTTTGAGATGGAGTTTTGCTTTTGTTGCCCAGGCTGGAGTGCAGTGGCATGATCTCAGCTCACCGCAACCTCCGCCTCCCGGGTTCAAGCAATTCTCCTACCTCATCCTCCCAAGTAGTTGGGATTATAGGCATGCGCCACACCTGGCTAATTTTTAAAAAAATTTTTAGTAGAGATGGGGTTTCTCCATATTGGCCAAGCTGGTCTTGAACTCCTGACCTCAGGTGATCCGCCTGCCTTGGCCTCCCAAAGTGCTGGGATTACAGGCGTGAGCCACCACGCTTGGCTTAAGTTGGGTTTTAAGGTTACCTCATTCTTCATTTTATTCCTCTCCACTTACTGATAAAACACAAATGGCTTTTCTAGTTCTTAAATTTTTTTTCCTACTTTTTAATAATGTCTTAGTTTGAAGGAGCAAAAAAGTCACAAACTAAGTCTGAGGAATGTACAGACTTTAAAATTCATTCCATCATTTATCCCACGACCATTTATCCAACATAACTGTGAGATATTTGGGACCCAAAAGTGAATAAAGCATAGTCCATTGCTTTAAAGGCCCATAGCCTTGTAAAACAGACTTGCCAAAAACATAATCCTGGCATGTCAGAGGTCTCTGTTCAGTCACATACTCCTGTTCCTTCTCCTTTTACAGATGGAGAAATAGACACAAAAATCTATATCGGTTGAGCGATTTTAATGACTGAGATCACCAGTAAGAAGCAATCTACCAAGGGGGGAGGGACCCACTCTTGTGAACCTGCACCTGGGTCTGAGCACAGCTTGAGAATCATGCCACCGGGCAAACTGCTATGCCAGTGACTGGCACCAACCTCATTGTGATCCTCCAAGCCTCCCAGAAATCCTACTGTTTTTAAAAGTCAGCTCATTTTCTCATTCTCAACAAGGGTGGTTTCAGATTTTCTCCATCTTTCTCACTTCTACAACCCCATTACTCACCTATCCTTATTCTTTATAGATGATCTTTCTTCTTAGCTTATACCACTCCCTGTAAAACCAGAAGCCATCACACGCTTTGCCACCAAATTATAACCCAAGCTTCTACCTCCCTTTTCCTCATAGAGGTCAATGTCATCTACTGTTGAAGGATAGTGGGGCAGGTTCCGTTTATTTTTTGTTGTTTTTTTTTAGACGGAGTCTCGCTGTGTCTTCAGGCTGGAGTGCAGTGGCTCGATCTCAGCTGACTGCAACCTCTGCCTCCTGGGTTCAAGCAATTCTCCTGCCTTAGCCTTCTAAGTAGCTGGGAGTACAGGCATGCGCCATCACGCCCAGATAATTTTTGTATTTTTAGTAGAGATGGGGTTTCACCATATTGGCCAGGCTGGTCTCGAACTCCTGACCTGGTGATCTGCCTGCCTTGGCCTCGCAAAGTGCTGGGATTACAGCCGTGAGTCACCATGCCAGGCTGATTCAATCTAACTTCTCCCTTAAACTTCCCGCCTAGGATCTCTTTAGGTGCCTGCATTTTCCCTAGTTCAGCTGTGTGTCACTGCTCTCTGTACTACTGGGCCCTGAGAGGAAATCTGGGGCATGGTATCCTTCCAGGAAGACATGGGACTAGGGAAGACATAGGACTAGGAAAGAGTATCTCTTTAGTTTACCCAGGACCACCAGTCAGACTGCGCAGATATATGTGAATCTCATTCCTGATGGGTGGGCCTAATTTTTTTTCTTTTTGAGATGGAGTCTCGCTCTGTCGCCCAGGCTGGAGTGCAGTGGCACGATCTCAGCTCACTGTAACCTCTGCCTCCCTGTTTCAAGTGATTCTCGTGCCTCAGCCTCCCGAGTAGCTGGGATCACAGGTGCACACCAACATGCCTGGCTAATTTTTGTATTTTTAGTAGAGACGGGGTTTCACCATGTTGGCCAGGCTGGTCTCGAACTCCTAACCTCAAATGATCCACCCGCCTTGGCCTCCCAAAGTGCTTGGATTATAGGTGTGAGCCACCGTGCCCAGCCACACTTCAGAGTGTCTTGGCTTCACCTGGTCCATCTTTTATTCCCCCGCTTCTGTGACAACCAGTTCTCTGTGCATTCTTTCAGCTTCCCCTCAGTGTATCCTGGCAATATCTCAGCTCCAGCTCATGGTGGTTGCCTCTCCCTCTCCATCTGGGGTTTGTCTGTTGTACTCTTTTCCAGCTATTATAGAACCACGAATAGCTTTTCCAGCAGCAGGAAAAATTTGCACAAAAATAAATTCACTAATAGTAACCAATCAACACACTTAGAGAAATAACTTTTGAAAAAAAATTATTTTTTGTAATACATGTATTACATTTTCTTTATTTTAGATAGCATTTAGCTTAGCTTGTTTGTAATACTTTATTCATTTTACCCAACAACTGATAACAGACTGATGATTTGCATTTAATATTTAAATTGTTATAATTTTCAGTTGTACTTACTGTTTAATCTTCACATTTAAAATGTATTAAAGTCCAGGCATGGTGGCTCACGCCTATAATCCCAGCACTTTGGAGGCCAAGGCAGGCAGATCACCTGAGGTCAGAAGTTCGAGACCAGCCTGGCCAACATGGCAAAACCCCGTCTCTACTGAAAATACAAAAATTAGCTGGGTATGGTGGCACCTGCCTGTAGTCCCAGTTACTTGGGAGGCTGAAGCAGGTGAATCACTTGAACCCAGGGGGGGAAAGTTGCAGTGAATTGAGATCGCGCCACTGCACTCCAGCCTGGGTGACAAAGTGAGACTCTCTCTCTCAAAAAAAAGAGATTATGTATTTCTTTGTCTCCTTTTGTTGGAGCACAAAGTCCTTGAATATGTATAAAATGGGAAGTAATTGTATTAATTACAATGGGGAAATACTTCTTTCAGCTTTGTTGAGTTTTTGTTTAGTAAGAGGAAGCCTGAAAGCTGGACCAACTCTGGATACACGACAAAATTGAGTGTGGACAGTCTCAGGGACAGACTGCCCTTCACCCAGGCATAGCCAGCCAGGGCTGTCTCATCTTCCTTTAACTTCAACCCTGTCTAAACTTGGGGACCATCTGTCCTATGTAATAAAAAGCAATAGTCCTTATACCGTAACAATAATTTTGAAATGTAATATATCTGAAGTCATGTCTGTAAAAATAATGAAACAAAAAGATATTTACATCTCATTTAAAATTAAAAAAACTCATTTTTATTATTTTTTAAATTATCTAACCTATTTGGTAGACAGCTTAGTCATGATCAAAATGACAAAATGAGGTAATATATAGGTAAACAATACGTGACTTGTAAAATATGACATGAATGAATCTTCTGACAGGGTGCAGTGGCTTATGCCTATAATCCTAGCACTTTGGGAGGCTGAGGTAGGATGATCACTTGAGGTCAAGAGTTTGAGAGTAGCCTGGGTAACGTAGCGAGACACTGTCTCTACAAAAAAAAAACTAAATAAAATAAAATAAAAATTAGTAGGGCACAGTGATGTGCATCTATAGTCTCAGCTACTTGGGGGGCTGAGGTGGGAGGATTGCTTGAGTCCAGGAGTTGGAGGTTACAGTATGCTATGTGTCGTGCCACTGCACTTCAGCCTGGATGACAGAGCAAGACTCTGACGTTTCTTAATAGGTCTTAATTTCCAACCACGTTAATTCTTTTTTTTTTTTTTGAGATGGAGTCTCGCTTTGTGGCCCAGGCTGGAGTGCAATGGTGTGATTTCAGCTCACTGCAATCTCTGCCTGCCGGGTTCAAGAAATTCTCCTGGCTCAGCCTCCTGAGTAGATGGGACTACAGGCGCTTGCCACCATGCCTGGCTAATTTTTTGTATTTTTATTAGAGACGGAGTTTCACCAGGCTGGCCAGGCTGGTCTCGAACTCCTGACCTTGTGATCCGCCCGCCTCGGCCTCCCAAAGTGCTGAGATTACAGGCGTGAGCCACCGCGCCTGGCCCACACTAATTCTTGATACTGTTTTTTGAAAACCCTTTAAATTGCAGTCAGAAACATAGCCCCATACTGATTCTTTAGATCTAATATGCCCTTCTGCCAGGCCAGGATAGACTTCCTAGGCCTGACTTAGATTTCTAGCTTTCAGAGAGGTGGAGTATTCTTCACTCATTTGCATTCTCCTCACTGTAGCATTAGACTCATTCACGCTACTGTTCTCAATAACTTTTCTTTGAAAGCCCTGAAATAGTTAATTTTGAAATTATTTTAAATAAAAGAGAATATTTAACATCCCCTGATCCAAAGAAAAATATGGCAAGTTTTAAGTCTGGAAGAAGCAATATTGCTTTTGTTTATATCCAAATGAGATTGACTGCCTTACTGCTCACCAGCAAGTACTGTTTCCCAGATTCAGAAACCTATGATCTACAGACTTCTAAGTAGCTTATTTGTAGTTGAAACCTAAAGGGGAAATGTTATACTTCGTTATTGCAAAATTCCTGTATTTCCCTTTTCTGTACAAGATGCTACTAAATCAGCATCATTATAGCATATCATCTTTGAGCATCCTACTTAACAGTGATTTGTTCTTGATCTGCTCACTCACTGTGCCCTCTTTGACAGCAATACCATTTATCTGAATAATGAACAGTTGAGAATAGCATTTATATGAATAATAAACAATTAAAGAACAGTTAAAGAAAAGTTTTTATCTTTGCATTATGCTAAATATTGAGGAAGGAGTTTAAGTGGATCACCTTGGCCTCTACATAGATAATGGAACAATTCAAATGCTTATTAACTCCCATGCGTAAAGTTTTTCCATAATAAATATGGATTGTATGCTACATTATTCATTTAATAGCAAATATTTATTGAGTGCTTACTATGTGTCAGGTACTGTTCTTAGTAAATATCCCCGTTCTTATGAGCCTTACAAGTTAGTCGGAGAAAATGAACGATAAACTCTGTGTGTGTGTGTGTGTGTGTGTGTGTGTGTGTGTGTGTGTGTATCATGGGTGAGCCTGGAGAACATTATGCCAAATGAAATAAGCCTGGCACAGAAAGATAAATACTGCATGATTTTGCTTATATGTGGAATCTAAAAAAGTTGAACTCGTTAATAGAAGCAGAGAGCAGAATAACGGTAACCAGGAACTGAGTGTTTCAGTAACACTGGTCAAAGGATACAAAATTTCAGTTAGGAGAAATAAGTTCAAGAGATCTATTGTGCAGCATGGTGACTATAGTAAATAACAATGTATCATATTCTTGAAAATTGTTAAGAGAGTAGAGTTTAAGTGTTCTCACCACAGAAAATAAGTATGGGAGGTAATTAATATGTTAACTGGCTTGATTTAGCCATTGTACGATACATACGTATTTCAAAACAACATGTACATGATAAATATATATTTTTTTATTTTTATTTTTATTTATTTATTTTTTTTTGAGACAGAGTCTTGCTCTGTCACCCAGGCTGGAGTGCAGCGGTGCAATCTCGGCTCACTGCAACCTCCGCCTCCTGGGTTCATGCCAGTGAGTCTCCTGCCTCAGCCTCCTGAGCAGCTGGAACTACAGGTGCCTGCCACCGAGCCCGGCTAATTTTTGTATTTTTAGTGGAGACGGGGTTTCACCATGTTAGCTAGGATGGTCTTGATCTCCTGACCTCATGATCTGCCTGCCTCGGCCTCCCAACGTGCTGGGATTACAGGCGTAAGCCACCACACCTGGCCCAATATATAGTTTTTTAAATAAAATTTTTATGGCTGGGCGCTGTGGTTCATGCAGGTAGTCCCAGCAATTTGGGAGGTGAAAGTGGGCAGATCTCTTGAGGTCAGGAGTTTGAGACCAGCCTGGCCAACACTGTGAAACCCGATCTCTACCAAAAATACAAAAAATTAGTCAGGTGTGGTGGTGCATGCCTGTAGTCCCAGGTACTTGAGAGGCTGAGGCAGGAGAATTGCTGGAACCTGGGACGCAGAGGTTGCAGTGAGAACCTGGGAGGTGGAGGTTACAGTGAGCTGAGATCATGCCACTGCACTCCAGCCTGGGCGACAGAGCCAGACTCCATCTCAAAAGAAACAAAATAAAAATAAAAAGAAACAAATAAACATATAAAATATATATGAAATATACAATTGGCTGGGCATGGTGGCTCATGCCTACAATTGTAGCACTTTGAGAGGCTGCGGTGGGTGGATTGCTTGAGCCCAGGAGTTTGAGATCAGCCTGGACAACGTAGGGAGACCTCATCTCTACAAAAAAATATAAAAATTAGCAGGGTATGGTGGTATGCACCTGTAGTTCCAGCTACTTGGGAGGCTGAGGTGGGAGGATCACTTGAGCCCAGGAGGCTGAGACTACAGTGAGCCATGTTCATACCACTGCACTCCAGCCTGGGCAACAGAGTGAGACCCTGTCTTAAAAAAAAAAAAAAGAAAGAAAAAGAAAAAAAGAAATATATAGTATATAATGTATTATATTACAGTATTTCATATTAGAAGGTGATATGTGCTATAGAAAAAAATGAGAAGTAGGTCATAATAAGGGGCATTGAGAGTGCAGAGTGGGTGGGTTGAAATTTTAAATAGGTGTTCAAAGTTGGTCCTGATAAGTAGTTGAAACTCAAGATGATTTGAAGGAGGTAATGGAGTTAGCCATGAAGATAGCAGGGCAACAGCATTGCTGGTAGAGGAAACAGACTGTGCAAAGGCTCTAAGATGAAAGCTAGCTTGCCATTTTCAAGGGAAAGCAAGGAATCCGGGATGGCTGAAGTGCGGTGAGTGAGTGGAAGAGAAATTGGTTGGGGTGTAGTGGTGGTGGCGGAACAAGATCCAGTAGAAACTTGAGCCATTTTTGGTAAGGACTTTTGGTCTTTAACTGTGAGTCACATAGGAGGCCTCCTCTGTTTTGATCAGAAGAGGACATGATTTGGCTTATGTTTTAAAGGGGCCACCGTGGCTCCAATGTTGAGAATGGACTGGAAGGAGTAAGGATAAAATACATGAGACCTATGGCATGAAGTACACGAAATAGTGTGAAACTGTGTCCGGAATTGGTTCCTTCCTGTGGGTTCTTGGTCTCGCTGACTTCAAGAATGAAGCCATGGACCCTCGTGGTGAGTGTTACAGTTCTTAAAGATCGTGTGTCTGGAGTTTGTTCCTTCAGATGTTCAGATGTGTCCAGAGTTTCTTCCTTCTGGTGGGTTCGTGGTCTTGCTGACTTCAGGAGTGAAGCCACAGACCTTCACAGTGAGTGTTACAGCTCTTAAAGGTGGCACGTCCATAGTCGTTTGTTCCTTCCTGTGGGTTTGTGGTCTCGCTGACTTCAGGAGTGAAGCTGTAGACCTTTGAAGTGCGTGTTACAGCTCATAAAGGTAGTGCAGACCCAAACAGTGAGCAGCAGCAAGATTTATTGTGAAGAGTGAAAGAACAAAGCTTCCACGGTGTGGAAAGGCACCCGAGCAGGTTGCTGCTGCTGGCTCAGGTGGCCAGCTTTTATTCCCTTATTTGGCCCCACCCACATCCTGCTGATTGGTCCATTTTACAGAGAGCCAATTGGTCCGTTTTTACAGAGTGCTGATTGGTGCGCTTACAACCCTTTAGCTAGACACAGAGCACTGATTGGTGTGTTTACAATACTTTAGCTAGACAGAAAAGTTCCCCAAGTCCCCACCCGACCCAGAAGCCCAGCCAGCTTCACCTCTCAATCCCCTCTAAACAGGACACCCCAACTGCTGTTGGGAATTGGCCAATGACCGCCCTAGCTACTTCCTGCTGAACAGGGGTGAAGAAGGAGCCCTGCAGTTGTAGTGTCCTCCAGAGGGGAACTCTTTAGGCCAGTGAAAGGGCCAGTGGGTCGGTCCAGGGGTCCTTGGTAGAAGTTGTTAGTTGAGCTCGTTTGGGGTTCCATTTGTAAGACCATCTGTGGCTTGATGGCCTCAATTCTAGAGGAAACAAATTTGATAAGGAGGTTAAAATATATGGCCCGAAGGTGAGTAATAGCAGGATGGCTGTCATGGGACCTAGAAAGGGGAGAAGCCATGTTGCACAACTCCAGAGGTTGGTATAAGAGTTTGAAAGGCGTTGTTTGATTTCAGAAGCCTTTTCCTGTAAACGCCGGGCGGCATCTCATACTATCCCTGACTGGTTAGCGTAAAAACAACACTCTTCCCCTAAGGAGCAGAGTCCTTCTTTCTCAGCATTGAGGAGGTCTAGGCCTTAGTGGTTTTGGAGAGTCGCTGCTGCCAAAGAGTCTATTTGGGATTGTAGTTACTATCCTTACTGGATAGATTTTGTTATTTCTTGCAAACTGTGTGAGAAATCCTCTGAGAGTGTGTGATATTAGGATAATATATGTTACACTGTTAACTTTTAGCAAACTTTACTTTTGTTGAAAACCTCGTAAGTCTGGGATTTTAATTTTTCTTTGCTATTAATAAAACCTCCTTCAGTCCGTATTAACTTAGAATTGGTATAGATGGCTCCTTCCTGATTCTGTAAGTACTTTAAGATTTGGCTGAGTGCAAACAACTCACACGTTTGTATGGCAATTAATTAAGATTTAGATCCCCTGTTAGGAAACCTGCTTGGTTAAGGATTTTTGATAGAAAGGCTATGGGTTGTCAGTGGCCTCAGTGCTTTCAGGCTATGCCCTTGTTTGCACTGACAACAAGGTGGTATTGGAGTGTTATAGGGTCATGGAGAAGACCTTCAATTATCAATTACAGGTTTTAAATTTACCCTGGCTTTTAAAGCAATAGGGTATACTGTTTTTTCTTTACTACTTCTGTCTCTCTTTCTTTCTCTTTGACTTCTTTGTCTCTCTCTTTCTGACTCCCTCTTTGTCTTTGTCTCTTCCTCTCTCTCTTTCTGACTTTCTGTCTCCTTCTCTCTTTCCTTTCTGCTGGTCTTTCCCTGCCTCTGCTAGCCACTTATGCTGCTGTTCTCCCCTCTCCTTCCCCTTTGTGATGGCTTCAGCAGTGTAAGACTACCAGCTCCTTGGGTTTTTGCACTGCGTGCAATAACTCCATAATTTCCTTGTGGTATTTAATGGGGGTTCCCCCAGAGGTTAGGAACTCCCTTTCTTTCCATATTGCAGCATGGGAATGTAGCATTAGATAAGCATACTTGCTACCTGTATACACATTTATTCCTTTTCCTTTTCCCAGTTCTAAGGCTCGGGTAAGTGCCACTAGTTCTGCTAACTGGGCACTAGTCCCTGGGGGAAGAGGCTTACTTTCAAGTATGGTTACATCACTAACTATGGCATAACCTGTCCTTCGTATCTCATTCTCCACAAATGAACTTCCACGGTATATAGGTTAAGGTCAGGATTAGCCAAGGGGACTTCCAAGAGATCATCTCAGGAGGCACAAGTCTGGACTATAATTTGTTGGCAGTCATGCTCGATTGGCTCCCCATCCTCTGGGAGAAAAGTGGCAGGGTCAAGGGCCACACACGTATGCACTTGAAGCACTGGTCCCTCAAGGAGTAGCACCTGGTATCTAACCAGGCGGTTGTCTGATAGCCATCAACTTCCTTTGGCACCTAGTATGCCATTTATATCATGAGTGGTCCAGACAGTGAGATCCTTTCCTTGTATTATTTTGATAGCTTCTGACACTAAGACGGCCACCGCTGCAACTACCCATAAACAGTGAGGCCAGCCTTTTGCTACTACATCAATTTCCTTACTTACATATGCCACTGGTTGGGGGGTTGTCCCATGAGTCTGAGTAAGGACTCCAAGAGCTATCCCTGCCGTCTCTGTGACGTATAAAGAGAAGTATTTTCCTGTGGAAATGCTTAAAGCTGGAGCTTGTACTAGGGCCTGCTTTAAGGTTTTGAAGGCTGTTTCTGCCCCTCATTCTCATTCTACTAGATAAGTATTTGCCCTCCGGGCCTCCTTGATTAGAGTATACAGGGGCGTGGCTATCTCACTGTATCCAGGGATCCATATTTGGCAAAAGCCGGTGATTCCAAGGAACCCCCACATCTGTTTTAATGTCTTAGGGTGAGGATAAGCCAGTATAGGCTGCATTCGTTCCTTGCTGAGGGCCCTGGTTCCTCTGGCTAAAATTAGGCCTAGATGTTTG
Source organism: Homo sapiens (assembly GCF_000001405.40). Classification (NCBI taxonomy): domain Eukaryota; kingdom Metazoa; phylum Chordata; class Mammalia; order Primates; family Hominidae; genus Homo; species Homo sapiens. The sequence continues at coordinate 211,226,456 of NC_000001.11, read as the reverse complement.
ACCTGCTGTAGGCAAAGCTGGGCCTTCGACCTAGATGCCTTGTACCCTTGATTAGCTAGAAAGTTCAAGAGATCTAGAGTAGCCTGCTGGCATGAGGCTTCCGAACTAGTAGCCAAAAGTAAATCATCCACATACTGAAGGACCAGAGTGCCTGGACTTGAGAAGTGGCCTAGATCTTGGGCCAGTACCTGAACAAACAGATGAGGGCTATCCCTAAACCCTTGGGGCAAGACGGTGCATGTAAGTTGGGATGTGTGGTCTGTGCAATCCTCAAAGGCAAAGAGAAACTGGGAGTCAGAGTGCAGGGGTATATAGGAGAAGGCATCCTTGAGGTCCAGAACAGTGACCCGTTTGCTTCCTCTCGTATTTGAAAGAGCAGGGTATAGGGGTTGGGTACAACTGGATATAGAGGAATTACTGCCTCATTGATGAGTCTAAGATCTTGCACTAGTCTCCACTGACCATTCGGTTTTTGTACTTCTAGAATTGGGGTATTGCAGGGACTGCTGCATTTCCTTACTAAGCCTTGAGTTTTTAAATGTTTAACAATATCCTGTAATCCTTTATGAGCTTCAGGCCTTAAGGGATATTGCCTTTGATAAGGAAAACTGGTGGGATCTTTTAGCCTGATTTGGACTGGATGGGCATTTTTTGCCCTTCCAAATTGTCCTTCCAATGCCCAGAGTTCAGGGTTGATTCCCTCCTCAAGTAGGGGACAGCAAATGGGTAACTTGTTCCCCATATTCATGTAGATAATAGCTCCAGCTTTGGCTCATATATCCCTCCCTAATAAGGGTGTGGGACTTTCAGGCATGACAAGAAATGCATGTGAAAAGAGCAAAGTCTCCCAATTACAACTGAGGAGGTGGGAGAAATACCTGGTTACAGGCTGTCCCAGGATTCTTCGGATGGAAACGGACCTTGAGGACAGCTGTCCAGGACAGGAGATTAACACTGAGAAAGTCAAGCCAGTGTCCAGGAGGAAGTCAATTTCCTGGCACTCAATGGTTATACATACCCGGGGCTCAGTGAGGGTGATGACGTGAGCTGGCATTTGCCCTGGGCACCCTCAGTCCTATTGTTAGATCATCTGGTTGGGGGCTTCTGGCCCAGAGAACCTTTGCCCTCTGGGACAGTGTGCCTTCCAGCGATTGCCTTGGCGTAGTGGACATGGACGAGGGGGCGGCTTGTTTCTCATTGGACATTCTTTTTTAAAGTGTCCTTGTAAACCACCCTGATAACAAGCCCTACTGGATGAGTGGCCTGCTCCATTTTCTGTCTTCTCTGAACCACCAAGGTTCATTTGTCTGAGGGCCATGACTAAGGCTGTGGCCTTTCTCTGATCTCGCTTTTCCTTTTGGGCCTGTTCCTCTTGGTCCCTATTATAGAACACTGAGGTTTCCAGGTTTAATAATGTCTCCAGATTTTATTCAGGGCCCAGGGCTCACTTTTGGAGCTTTCTCCTGATATCTGTGGCTGATTGGGTAATAAACTTATCTTTTAGGATCAATTGACCCTCTAGTGAGTCAGGTGACAGGGGATTATATTTTCTTACAGCCTCCCATAGCCACTCGAGGAAGGCAGAAGGATTTTCTTCCTTTCCCTGAGTTATGGTAGACATCATTGAATAATTCATGGGCTTTGTCCTAATTTTTCTTAGTTCTTCTAGAACACAGGTCAACAGATGTTTGAGACTCCAGTCCCCATGATCTGAGTCAAGGTCCCAGTGGGGATCCATACTGGGGATGGCTTGCTGACTGGTAGGGAATTTGTCCCTTTCTTTGGCTGTCATGCTATCATTTACTTGACTAAGATACCAGGTATCTCCAAACTCTCAGGCTGCAGCTAAAGCCACATTCTTTTCATTAAAGGCCAGGGTTTGATCTAACAATAGCATGACATCTCTCCAAGTGAGATAGAAAGTTTGCCCTAGACTCTGTAGGACATCTATGTATCTATCAGGATCATCTGAAAACTTCCCCAGGTCTGCCTTGATCTGCTTTAAATCACAGAGGGAGAAGGGGACATGTACCTGGATTGGGCCAAATTCCCCTCCCCCTACAGCTTGAAGGGGACATAACTGACAGCCCAGGGGTTTTTGTGGTCCTTTGGAGATTTCTTTGCTTATTTCCTTCTGGGTGGGGGAGATTAGAGGAGGCTTATCATTAATAGGAAGGGGAGCTATAGGGAGGCTAGGATATGGGGGTAAGCTGAGAGATCCTCCTGTGGGATGTAAATTGCAAGTTTTGCATAGTTGTGTATTCTCCTTCAATGAAAAGAAAGCTTGGACATAAGGTATTTCACTCCTTTTGCCTTCCCTCTTACAGAAAAGGTCAAGTTGCAGGATAGTATTGTTATTTACACTTCCCTCAGGTGCAGGTGGCCATTTTTCCCCATCAGAGAGAGAATATTGGGGCCAGGCCATAGTGCAGAAAAAAATGAGCCACCTCTTTTTCAGGGTTTGTGGGTCAAATTGGTCCCAATGGCTTAGGGTGCATTTCAATGGTGAGCCTGTTGATGCCTGAGTGTTTCCCAACTGAAAGACAAAACTGCCCACGGTTTTGGTTTGTTTATTTTTCCCCCTGCCCAAGAACCTGCAACGGTCCCTGGACCATGCTGATTGGAATAGTTGCACTCACCGATGCAGCAGCAGAAACACTAGTTTTCCTCCTAGACCCAAGGAGGACGAGGAATGTCGGATTTAGTGGCCCTTACTGACACATTCTCGAAAACCTGCACCCTTGCCTGTCCTCCTAGACCACAAAGAGGATCGAGAAAAATTGGATTTAGTGGCCCTTACCGATGCATTCTCGAAAACCCATTAGAGTCCTAAGTGTTCTCCTGTTAGTATTGGGACTTTACCCATGTCCTATAAAGATGTTATGCCCCAAAAATGAAGTGGAGGGACATACCCTGAGGGAGGTAAGGGATTTCCAGAGTTGGAAGAGTGATGCCTTTTGTCCTCACTTATATGAATAGGAAGGATACAATTTCTGAGGCTCCCCATATCCTAGCTTCAGGAATAGCTTTTGTTAGGCCTGCTTGTCTGAGGAGGGATCCCAAAATTCCAGATAGTCCCCCTACGATGGGGCTTTGGGCAAAAATTATGTCTTTCTGATTGGTGAGCCTGGGTGCCTAAATAAGGTAACAGAGTTCTGAAGTTTATACTAGAAATCATTCTTACAGGAGAAACTAGAAAAGCACAAGAGACAAGGAGTGGTTTTTAGAAGCGGGACTAGCCTCAGAGAAGAGAGGGGGGAGGAAGTTTGTCTGACAGGCATTAGGACCCAAGAGGCAAGGGTCAGTATAGATAGGTTAGATGGGCAAGTCTCACTTGGGCAACATGACTTAGAGAGTGTGGGGAAAAGAAAGAGAGATGAGACTGTTACTGTGTCTGCATAGAAAGAAGTAGACATAAGAGACTCCATTTTGTTCTGTACTAAGAGAAATTCTTCTGCCTTGAGATGCTGTTAATCTGTAAGGCTAGCCCCAACCCTGTGCTCGCAGAGACATGTGCTGTGTTGACTCAAGGTTTAATGGATTTAGGGCTATGCAGGATGTGCTTTGTTAAAAAAGTGCTTGAACGCAGTATGCTTGTTAAAAGTCATCACCATTCTCTAATCTCAGGTACCTAGGGACACAATACACTGTGGAAGGCTGCAGGGACCTCTGCTTAGGAAAGCCAGGTATTGTCCAATGTTTCTCCCCATGTGATAGCCTGAGATATGGCCTCATGGGAAGGGAAAGACCTGACCGTCCCCCATCCCGACACCCATAAAAGGTCTGTGCTGAGGAGGATTAGTGAAAGAGGAAGGCTTCTTTGCAGTTGAGATAAGAGGAAGGCATCTGTCTCCTGATCGTCCCTGGGCAATGGAATGTCTCGGTGTAAAACCCGATTGTATGTTCTGTTTACTGAGATAGGAGAAAATCGCCTTAGGGCTGGAGGTGAGACATGCTAGTGGCAATACTGCTCTTTAATGCACCAAGATGTTCGTATACGTGCACATCAAGGCACAGTACCTTTCCTTAAACTTATTTATGACACAGAGACCTTTGTTCACATGTTTTCCTGCTGACCCTCTCCCCACTATTACCCTATTGTCCTGCTACATACCCCCCTCTGAGATGGTAGAGATAATGATCAATAAATACTGAGGGAACTCAGAGACCAGTGCCAGTGTGGGTCCTCCATATGCTGAGCGCCAGTCCCCTAGGCCCACTTTTCTTTCTCTATACTTTGTCTCTGTGTCTTCTTTCTTTTCTCAGTCTCTCATCCCACTTGACGAGAAATGCCCACAGGTGTGGAGGGGCAGGAAACCCCTTCAGAGAGTTCTGCTCATGGCTGCAGGATCAACCAACTTGTTTTCAGGACTCCGGAGCTGAATGGCTTTCCTCTGTCAACCCTTGGCTCAGCCCAGAAGTACAGGAAAAGTGGAAGCTGGTTCCAGGGAAATCAACACTCCCAACTCTGAAGAGTTGGGGGTTGTTAGAGATACATTTCCCAGAAAGCCTGACACCCATGTCTTTAGTCCAGTGGCCGTGCTAGTTGCTTTTAACTGGCTGACAGCTGCCTGGTATTTAGCACCTGAGTTTGAAGGAAAAATAGGACTGAATAGCAAGTGAAAGGGGTCCGATGGTACTCATCGCTTGGCGATAGGTGATAGTCCCATCTGGGTTGCCAAAATGTGTCCGGAATTGGTTCCTTTCTGTGAGTTCTTGGTCTCGCTGACTTCAAGAATGAAGCCACGTACCCTCGTGGTGAGTGTTACAGTTCTTAAAGATGGTGTGTCTGGAGTTTGTTCCTTCAGATGTTCAGATGTGTCTGGAGTTTCTTCCTTCTGGTGGGTTCATGGTCTTGCTGACTTCAGGATTGAAGCCACAGACCTTCGCAGTGAGTGTTACAGCTCTTAAAGGTGGTGCATCCAGAGTTGTTTGTTCCTCCCAGTGGATTCGTGGTCTTGCTGACTTCAGGAGTGAAGCTGTAGACCTTTGAAGTGAGTGTTACAGCTCATAAAGGTAGTGCAGACCCAAAGAGTGAGCAGCAGCAAGATTTATTGTGAAGAGTGAAAGAACAAAACTTCCACAGCATGGAAGGGGACCCAAGTGGGTTGCTGCTGCTGGCTCAGGTGGCCAGCTTTTATTCCCTTATTTGGCCCCACCCACATCCTGCTGATTGGTCCATTTTACAGAGAGCTGATTGGTCCATTTTACAGAGAGCCAATTGGTCCATTTTTACAGAGTGCTGATTGGTGCACTTACAAACCTTTAGCTAGACACAGAGCACTGACTGGTGCATTCACAATCCTTTAGCTAGACAGAAAAGTTCCCCAAGTCCCCACCCGACCCAGAAGCCCAGCCAGCTTCACCTCTCAAAACTACTGCAGTGATCCAGGAAAAAAGGTGATGGTGACTCAGACCAGGATGGCTGTAGTGGCAATGGGGAGAAACAGTTGACTACTTCATAGGTTTTAAAGGTAGAGCCAATGTGGTTGGCTGACAGATTGGTGGTGGAGTGTAAGAGAAGCCACAGAATTGGCAAGGTGTGGTGGCTCACGCCTGTAATCCCAGCACTTTGGGAGGCCGAGGCGGGTGGATCACGAGGTCGGGAGATCGAGACCATCCTGGCTAACACAGTGAAACCCTGTCTCTAGTAAAAATACAAAAAATTAGTCGGGCGCGGTGGTGGGTGCCTGTAGTCCCAGCTACTCAGGAGGCTGAGGCAGGAGAATGGTGTGAACCCAGGAGGTGGAGTTTGCAGTGGGTGCAGATCGCGCCACTGCACACTAGCCTGGGCGACAGAGTGAAACTCTGTCTCAAAAAAAAAAGAGAAGCCACAGAATCAAAAGAGACTGCAAAGTGTGTAGTCTGAGCAAGTGGAAACATGAAGGTATTTCTAACTGAGATGGGAAGGCTAGTGGTAGAACAGGTCTAGGGAAGGAAATGTGAGTTTGATTTTGATCTTGTTGAGTTTGAGATATCTATTAGACATTCAAGTTGAGATGTGGAGTAGGCAGTTCATTATAAAAGTCTGGAGAGAGGGTTAGTTTGGATACATACATCTGGGAGAAGGATAAGTCATACTCAGGACCTAATGCAAAATGAAAATGAAGACTCCTTGTTAAAAAATTATTGAGAATTTCAGTGGCTGGGCGTGGTGGCTCATACCTATAATCCCAGCACTTTGGGGGGCTGAGGTGGGAAGATCACTTGAGCCTAGGAGTTTGAAACCAGCCTGAGAAACATGGTGATATCCCATCTCTACTAAAAAATAAAAAAATTAGCCAGGCATTGTGGTGCACGACTGTGGTCCCAGCTACTCAGGAGGCTGAAGTGGGAGAACCATCTGAGCCCAGGAAGTTGAGGCTGCAGTGAGCCGTGATTGCACCGCTGCACTCCAGCCTGGGCAACAGAGCAAGACCCTGTCTCAGCAACAGCAGAGCATTAAAGCACAGGGCTTTTCTGAGGGTGGGGCTTGCGAGTGCACAGCTCACAAGGAAGCTGGCTCTGTTTTGGAGTCATTGGCATACACTTGGTACTTAAAGATTGGACAAGATCTTCAAGGGAGTGAGTGTAAATGGAGGAGAGAAGAGGACCACACGCTGGCTCCGGGGGCACTCTGGCATTAAGGGATTGAGAAAATGAGGAGGGGCCAACAGAGGAGAAAGGGTGAAGAAAACTGGGAGATTGTGGTGTCCAGGAAGCCACGAGACAAGTCACTCCTGTGACCATCTGCATTAAATGCTGTGGTTGTGTAAACAAGGTGAGGGCAGGGAATTGACATGAGATTTAGCAACTTATAAGCTTTTAGCAATAATAAATTTTAATTTATTTTATAAGAAGCTATGCAAAACTAATTAGGGAGTATTACAAATTACATCATTGTTAATTATTAAAAACAATTTCTGGATATTATATGGCAACAAAGACATTGGGCTATATTCCATATTGGTACAAATTCCTCTGAAGTATATCACATTTCTATAATCACTGTTAGATATGTAATTTTATTTCAAATTTTTGGTAGATTTTGGGTAGATAGAATAACACATCCTAAGTGAGGTCAGAAGAGGATTTTCTAAAGTTTTCCACCAATTTTTTGGAAAGCAACTTTCTTGCTCAATATCAAGTGTTTGTGAGGCCCTGATAACATGTTTCAAAATTACATATATATATATATATATATATATATATATATATATTTATTTTTTTGAGATGGAGTCTTGCTCTCTTGCCCAGGTTGGAATGCAGTGGCACGATCTCGGCTCACTGCAACCTGTCTGTGAGGCCCTGATAACATGTTTAATATATATATATATATATATATATATATATAGAGAGAGAGAGAGAGAGAGAGAGAGAGAGAGAGAGAGAGAGAGAGATGGAGTCTTGCTCTGTTGCCCAGGCTGGAGCGCAGTGGCACGATCTTGGCTCACTGCAACCTCTGCCTCCTGGGTTCAAGCGATTCTCCTGCCTCAGCCTCCTGAGTAGCTGGGATTACAGGCGTGCATCACCACGCCTGGCTAATTTTTTTGTGTTTTTAATAGAGACAGGGTTTCACCGTGTTGGTCAGGCTGATCTCGAACTCCTGACCTCATGATGCAGCCGCCTTGGCTTCCCAAAGTGCTGGGATTACAGGCGTGAACCTCCATGCCCAGCCTTTTAAAATAATATTCTATTAAACATTTTAGGATCCTTGAAAAGAGAAATTACTTTTGAAATACTGATTATTCTCCCTTTCCTAGTTTGCATTTCTCATCACATTATCTCCAAGTGCTTTGGTAAGAGGCTGATATGGAAGGGCTTTGAAACAAGAAGAAAAGTCTTTCCTACCTCGAACTTAAGGTAATTTTAAGTATCAAATCTGCAGGTATCAAGGGGGTTGAAGAACAAAGCTTCATCTGTTACCTGTTCTTATGCATTTTAATGCACTGTATCCTAATACTAAAGAAAGAAAAAGGTTTAATAAGCTTCTGACTTTTGATTAAAACTCTTTTGGAAGGTTTTTCACATAAACATTTTATAGCCCAGAGAGTTAAGTAAGGATGTTGTTTTTAGAAGAAGGAGGTAAGCTTCAAAAAGCATTCTTCTGGAAAGCTACAGCTTAGCTGACTCCATCCCGGTTTTAATATATTACTGTGGTTAACAGGATACCACAGTAGGGGGCATTAAAGAGATGGTAAATTTGTACCGATAAAATAATTATATTTTTGTGTTGAATATTGAGTTTGCTTTTACAGCGAGAATAAATTTACATTTCAAATAGCAAAGAAAATTCTGCCAAGGACCTCTACCACCGCTAGACCCAAGTTATCTGTTGTCTTCAACAATCACTTTCATTGACTCCTTTGCCAATTATCCTGGATCTGCAGAGAAATTCTTTCTATTAGGGCATTTTAAGCACTATGAAGAATGCATGACTAAATTTTAGAGATAAGTAGACAAGAATATTAGAACTATAGGTTATGTTCCTAAGATATCTTTTTCTGAAAAGCAAAGACTGTGGCCTTTGGGATGAAATGAATAGAAACCTAGTAAACAGAGAAAGACAGGAAAGGGGGAGATGCCAAGCAAATGTTTGTATGAAGCTGCATGATCAGGCTCCCGCCTGCCTCTCCATCCTTATTTTGTGCCACCCTTCCTTTCATTCACTGGGTTCCAGCCATCCAGGTCTTGTTTCTGTTCCTCCAGCATCCCAAATACCTTCCTTAAAGGCTTTCCCTGTTACCTTATCTAAAATAGCACTCCCACTTCCTTCCATCATATCATTTTGTAGAGTTCAATCATAGCATGCAACACACTCAGTAGGTGCCTTGTGAATTTAAAAAAATGGTTTCCAGTGGACACAATGACTCATACCTGTAATCTCAGCACTTTGGGAGGCTGAAGCGGGAGGATTGCTTAAGGCCAGGAGTTCAAGACTAGTCTGGGCAACATAGTGAGACCCCTATCTCTACAAAAATAAAAATAATTAGCCAAGTGTGGTGGCACTTACCTGTAGTCCCAGCTACTCTGGAGGCTGAGGTGGGAAGATGGTTTGAGCCTAGGAGTTTGAGGTTTTGAGGTAGCAGTGAGCTATGATTGCATCACTGCACCCCAGCCTGAGTGACAGAGCGAGACCCTGTCTTAAAAAAAATACATATATATATAAAATAAAAGGTTTATTTCTTAGCTTTATCCACTAGAATGTGAGCTCTTTTAAGGCAGTGGCCTTGCATGGCCAAATTTCCAGTCCCTAAAACTGTCCTTGACCCTTTGAAGTGGTCAGTAAATATTTGTTGAATAAATGAATAAAGTTTATTTTATATGAGGTAAGCCCAAATATTCAGAACCTTAGCATACCTCATCTATACTTTTTGGATGCCAAAATCTGCTAAGTTTTGAAACAAAGAACTGTCTCAATTTACTTGCTACTCTGTGTGATGGCCTAACTACATAATTAACCAAAAAATACATTTCCAAAGTGTGTTAAATATGATAACCAAGGGAGATTATAAGAGAATCATCCTCTTCGCCTTTGCATATTCTTCACAGCATAGCACATATTTACTTATTTGAGATTACTGGCTATGTTTCCTTGAGCAAGAGAGCTTTCCTGTATTATTGGTAAGAACATTATGTACAAGTTGACCCAGAGTCTAATTAGGGATAAGAGATTCATCCAATCGTGGACGTCTTAAAAAGCAATAGTACTTAGAGTACCCTTTTTAAGGTTATGCTGTTAGCTGGTATTACAGGTCATAGAGAAAACCTAAAATGTTAAATTGCCAACTATTACTCCTCCTGAGTTATTTTCATTATTAATTCATTTTTTTGAGGGAAATAAAAACCTGCTTAAAAATAGTCCAGGTTGGCCGGGCACAGTGGCTCACGCTTGTAATCCCAGCACTTTGGGAGGCCAAGGTGGGCGGATCACGAGGTCAGAAGATCGAGACCATCCTAGCTAACACGGTGAAACCCCGTTTCTACTAAAAATACAAAAAATTAGCTGGGTGTGGTGGCGGGCGCCTGTAGTCCCAGCTACTCGGGAGGCTGAGGCGGGAGAATGGCGTGAACCCAGGAGGCAGAGCTTGCAGTGAGCCGAGATCGTGCCACTGCACTCCAGCCTGGGCGACAGAGAGAGACTCTGTCTCAAAAAAAAAAAAAAAAAAAAAAGTCCAGATCCTGGTCCATAGTCTGTATTATGAGTAAGATTTTGGTGACAGGTGTAAGTAAGAACTGATGTGTTTTTTTCAATCCACTGTGAAGTTGGAAGGGAGGATGTCGGAATTCTCTTCTAGCCCACCCTATGCTCAGTGTGCAATCTTAACAAGTTTATTAACTTCTTGAATCTTAATTGTATTATCTATGATCATGGATCTATAGAACATATGTTTGGACCTTATAGTTAATCATTCTACAGAAGTAGAATCTTATTAACAAAAATGAAAACCAATACCCCCAGCATTTATAGCTTATCCCGATTACAAAAATAATGCACACACCAGAGTAGAAAATGTTGAAAAGACAAAAAGCATAGAGAAAAATATAACTTGAATGCTATAACTTTAGATACAACACTGTCCCCATTTTCATGTTGCCTCTAGCTTGTTTTTAAACTTTCTCAAATTAGTGATTTATTATTATTGCTACTCTCTCCCTTTCTCCCTCCCTCTCTTCTTCTTTCCCTCCTTCTTTCCTTTGTTTTCTTTTGTTTTCCTTTCTTTTCTCTCTCTCTCCCTCCATTCCTCCCTTCCTTCTTTCCTTTTTTCCCTTATAGTCCATATCTGTTTAGCGTTACCAAAACATTTACCAATATATTTACTCCCACCACTTCTTTCTGGGTTCCTTTAAATTTTGCCAAAGAAAATCCTTTAGTTGTTTTTTCACCAACAGCTTATTAGTACTAAACTTTCATAGTTTTTTATGGCCAGGCGTGGTGGCTCATGCCTGTTATCCCAGCACTTTGGGAGGCTGACGCAAAAGGATTGCCTGAGCCCAGGAGTTCCACACCAGCCTGGGCAACCCAGTGAGACCTTGTCTCTCCAAAAAATAAAAAACTTAGCTGGATGTGGGGACATGTGCATGTAGTTCCAGCTACTTGGGAAGCTGAGGTGAGAGAGGACCTCTTGAGCCTAGCAGATCAAGACTGCTGTGGGCTATGATGATGCCACTGTACTCCAGCCTAGGCAAAAGAGTGACAACCCCATCTCTTTCCCTCTAAAAAGGAAAAAAAAGTTATTTTATGACTGAAAGTACTTTATTTTACCCTTATTCTTGAAAAATAGTGTAGTAAACTCCTTTTCCCTTCGCACCTATTTTTGGCATCCTTATCATGTATTTATTTATTTTTTTACCATGAAGTATAGCAGGAGATATAATGTATTTAAATTTTCTGTATTTTTACATATATTTTAACCTCCCCAAGATATTATCATTGTTTTAACTGTCAATATTCATTTAGTTTTAACTATATCACTACCATTTCTTTATATACCTGTGTTATTGAGCTTCAATTAGGGGTTTTTTTCCTTTTTGCTTGGAAAACTCTTTGTATTTCCTTGGGTGGAGATGTGCTGCCATTAAATTC